>NC_000023.11:58804605-58988881 GCF_000001405.40 Homo sapiens
TGTGTTTAGTTATGGGAAATTATTCCCGTTTCCAACGAAATCCTCAGAGAGCTCCAAATATCCACCTGCAGATTCTACCAAAAGTGTATTTGGAAACTGCTCCATCAAAAGGCATGTTCAGCTCTGTGAGTGAAACTCCATCATCACAAAGAATATTCTGAGAGAGACAGGAGGGAGGAGCCAAGATGGCCGAATAGGAACAGCTCCGGTCTACAGCTCCCAGCGTGAGCGACGCAGAAGACGGTGATTTCTGCATTTCCATCTGAGGTACCGGGTTCATCTCAATAGGGAGTGCCAGACAGTGGGCGCAGGCCAGTGTGTGTGCGCACCGTGCGCGAGCCGAAGCAGGGCGAGGCATTGCCTCACCTGGGAAGCGCACGGGTCAGGGAGTTCCCTTTCCGAGTCAAAGAAAGGGGTGACGGACGCACCTGGAAAATCGGGTCACTCCCACCCGAATATTGCGCTTTTCAGACCGGCTTAAGAAACGGCGCACCACAAGACTATATCCCAAACACTCTGAGAAAGTTCTTCATGATGAATGCATTTAACTCGCAGAGATGAACCTGCCTTTGAGAGTTCATGTTCGAAACACTCTTTCTGTAGAATCTGCAAGTGGATATTTGGACCACTGGCTGGCCTTCGTTCGAAACGGGTATATGTTCACGTAAAAACTAAAGACAAGCATTCTCAGAAACTTCTGAGTGATGATTGCATTCAAGTCACACAGTTGAACCCTCCTTTTGATGGAGCAGTTTTGAAACTGTCTTTTTGTAGAATCTGTAAGTGGATACGTGGACCTCTTTGAAGATTTCTTTGGAAACGGGAATATTTCCACAGAAAAACTAAACTGAAGCATTCTCAGAAACCGCTTTGTGATGTTTGTGTTCGAGCCACAGAGTTTAACATTGCTTTTCATAGAGCAGTTTTGAAATATTCTTTTCGCAGAATCTGCAAGTGGACATTTGGAGCGCTTTCAGGCCTGTGGTGGAAAAGGCCTGAAAGCCTTTTCCTTTATCTTCACAGAAAGACGAGAGAGAAGCATTGTCAGAAACTTCTTTGTGATGATTGCATTCAACTCACAGAGTTGAAGATTCCTTTTGAAACAGCAGTTTTGAAACACTCTTTCTGTGGGATCCGCAAGGGGATATTTGGACCTCTTTGAAGGTTTCGTTGGAAACGGGATAATCTTCACCTAAAAGCTAAACGGAAGCATTCTCAGAAACTTCTTTGGGATGTTTGCATTCACCTCACAGAGTTGAACTTTCCCTTTGATAGCGCAGCTTTGACACACTTTTTCTACAATGTGCAAGTGGCTATTTAGCGGGCTTGGAGGACTGTGTTGGAAAAGGAAATATCTTCTCCTAAAAACGACATAGAAGCATTCTCAGAAACTGCTCTGTGATGATTGCATTCAACTCCTAGAGTTGAACATTCCTTTTGATAGAGCAGTTTGCAAACACTCTTTTTGTAGAATCTGCAAGTGGAGATTTGGACCGCTTTGAGGCCTGTCGTAGTGAAGGAAAGAACTTCATATAAAAACCAGACGGTAGCACTCTCAGAAAATTCTTTGTGACGATGGAGTTTAACTCAGGGAGCTGAACATTCTTTATGATGGAGCAGTTTCCAAACACACGTTTTGTAGAATCTGCGAGGGGATATTTGGACCTCTCTGAGGATTTCGTTGGAAACGGGATCAACTTCCCATAACTGAACGGAAGCAAACTCAGAACATTCTTTGTGATGTTTGTATTCAACTCACAGAGTTGAACCTTCCTTTGATAGTTCAGGTTTGCAACACCCTTGTAGTAGAATCTGCAAGTGTATATTTTGACCACTTTGTAGCCTTCGTTTGAAACGTCTATATCTTCACATCAAACCTAGACAGAAGCATTCTCAGAAAGTTTTCTGCGATGACTGCATTCAACTCACAGAGTTGAACAATCCTTCTGATGGAGCAGTTTTGAAACCCTCTTTCTTTGGAATCTGCAAGGGGATATGTGGACCTCTTTGAAGATTTCACTGGAAACGGGATCATCTTCACATAAAAACTAAACAGAAGCATTCTCGGAAACTACTTTGTGATGTTTGTATTCAACTCCCAGAGTTGAACTTTCCTTTTGAAAGAGCAGCTATGAAACACTCTTTCTCGAGAATCTGCAAGTGGACGTTTGGAGGGCTTTGAGGCCTGTGGTGGAAAAGGAAATATCTTCACATAAAAACTAGATAGAAGCATTCTCAGAAACGACTTTGTGAGGATGGCATTCAACTCATGGAGTTGAACAATCCTATTGATAGAGCAGATTGGAATCACTCTTTTTGTAGAATCTGCAAATGGAGATTTGGACTGCTTTGAGGCCTACGGTCGTATAGGAAGGAACTTCATATAAAAGGCAAACGGAAGCATTCTCAGAATATTCTTTGTGATGATGGAGTTTCACTCACAGAGCTGAACATGCCTTTTGATGGAGCAGTTTCCAAATACACTTTTGGTAGAATCTGCAGGTGGATATTTGGAGCTCTCTGAGGATTTCGTTGGAAACGGGAATAATTTCCCATAACTAAACACAAACACTCTGAGAAAGTTCTTCATGATGAATGCATTTAACTCGCAGAGATGAACCTGCCTTTGAGAGTTCAGGTTCGAAACACTCTTTCTGTAGAATCTGCAAGTGGATATTTGGACCACTGGCTGGCCTTCGTTCGAAACGGGTATATGTTCACGTAAAAACTAAAGAGAAGCATTCTCAGAAACTTCTGAGTGATGATTGCATTCAAGTCACACAGTTGAACCCTCCTTTTGATGGAGCAGTTTTGAAACTGTCTTTTTGTAGAATCTGTAAGTGGATACGTGGACCTCTTTGAAGATTTCTTTGGAAACGGGAATATTTCCACAGAAAAACTAAACTGAAGCATTCTCAGAAACCGCTTTGTGATGTTTGTGTTCGAGCCACAGAGTTTAACTTTGCTTTTCATAGAGCAGTTTTGAAATATTCTTTTCGCAGAATCTGCAAGTGGACATTTGGAGCGCTTTCAGGCCTGTGGTGGAAAAGGCCTGAAAGCCTTTTCCTTTATCTTCACAGAAAGACGAGAGAGAAGCATTGTCAGAAACTTCTTTGTGATGATTGCATTCAACTCACAGAGTTGAAGATTCCTTTTGAAACAGCAGTTTCGAAACACTCTTTCTGTGGGATCCGCAAGGGGATATTTGGACCTCTTTGAAGGTTTCGTTGGAAACGGGATAATCTTCACCTAAAAGCTAAACGGAAGCATTCTCAGAAACTTCTTTGGGATGTTTGCATTCACCTCACAGAGTTGAACTTTCCCTTTGATAGCGCAGCTTCGACACACTTTTTCTACAATGTGCAAGTGGCTATTTAGCGGGCTTGGAGGACTGTGTTGGAAAAGGAAATATCTTCTCCTAAAAACGACATAGAAGCATTCTCAGAAACTGCTCTGTGATGATTGCATTCAACTCCCAGAGTTGAACATTCCTTTTGATAGAGCAGTTTGCAAACACTCTTTTTGTAGAATCTGCAAGTGGAGATTTGGACCGCTTTGAGGCCTGTGGTAGTGAAGGAAAGAACTTCATATAAAAACCAGACGGTAGCACTCTCAGAAAATTCTTTGTGACGATGGAGTTTAACTCAGGGAGCTGAACATTCGTTATGATGGAGCAGTTTCCAAACACACGTTTTGTAGAATCTGCGAGGGGATATTTGGACCTCTCTGAGGATTTCGTTGGAAACGGGATCAACTTCCCATAACTGAACGGAAGCAAACTCAGAACATTCTTTGTGATGTTTGTATTCAACTCACAGAGTTGAACCATCCTTTGATAGTTCAGGTTTGTAACACCCTTGTAGTAGAATCTGCAAGTGTATATTTTGACCACTTTGTAGCCTTCGTTTGAAACGTCTATATCTTCACATCAAACCTAGACAGAAGCATTCTCAGAAAGTTTTCTGCGATGACTGCATTCAACTCACAGAGTTGAACAATCCTTCTGATGGAGCAGTTTTGAAACCCTCTTTCTTTGGAATCTGCAAGGGGATATGTGGACCTCTTTGAAGATTTCACTGGAAACGGGATCATCTTCACATAAAAACTAAACAGAAGCATTCTCGGAAACTATTTTGTGATGTTTGTATTCAACTCCCAGAGTTGAACTTTCCTTTTGAAAGAGCAGCTATGAAACACTCTTTTTCGAGAATCTGCAAGTGGACGTTTGGAGGGCTTTGAGGCCTGTGGTGGAAAAGGAAATATCTTCACACAAAAACCAGATAGAAGCATTCTCAGAAACGACTTTGTGAGGATGGCATTCAACTCATGGAGTTGAACAATCCTATTGATAGAGCAGATTGGAATCACTCTTTTTGTAGAATCTGCAAATGGAGATTTGGACTGCTTTGAGGCCTACGGTAGTACAGGAAGGAACTTCATATAAAAGGCAAACGGAAGCATTCTCAGAATATTCTTTGTGATGATGGAGTTTCACTCACAGAGCTGAACATGCCTTTTGATGGAGCAGTTTCCAAATACACTTTTGGTAGAATCTGCAGGTGGATATTTGGAGCTCTCTGAGGATTTCGTTGGAAACGGGAATAATTTCCCATAACTAAACACAAACACTCTGAGAAAGTTCTTCATGATGAATGCATTTAACTCGCAGAGATGAACCTGCCTTTGAGAGTTCAGGTTCGAAACACTCTTTCTGTATAATCTGCAAGTGGATATTTGGACCACTGGGTGGCCTTCGTTCGAAACGGGTATATGTTCACGTAAAAACTAAAGAGAAGCATTCTCAGAAACTTCTGAGTGATGATTGCATTCAAGTCACACAGTTGAACCCTCCTTTTGATGGAGCAGTTTTGAAACTGTCTTTTTGTAGAATCTGTAAGTGGATACGTGGACCTCTTTGAAGATTTCTTTGGAAACGGGAATATTTCCACAGAAAAACTAAACTGAAGCATTCTCAGAAACTGCTTTGTGATGTTTGTGTTCCAGCCACAGAGTTTAACATTGCTTTTCATAGAGCAGTTTTGAAATATTCTTTTCGCAGAATCTGCAAGTGGACATTTGGAGCGCTTTCAGGCCTGTGGTGGAAAAGGCCTGAAAGCCTTTTCTTTATCTTCACAGAAAGACGAGAGAGAAGCATTGTCAGAAACTTCTTTGTGATGATTGCATTCAACTCACAGAGTTGAAGATTCCTTTTGAAACAGCAGTTTCGAAACACTCTTTCTGTGGGATCCGCAAGGGGATATTTGGACCTCTTTGAAGGTTTCGTTGGAAACGGGATAATCTTCACCTAAAAGCTAAACGGAAGCATTCTCAGAAACTTCTTTGGGATGTTTGCATTCACCTCACAGAGTTGAACTTTCCCTTTGATAGCGCAGCTTTGACACACTTTTTCTACAATGTGCAAGTGGCTATTTAGCGGGCTTGGAGGACTGTGTTGGAAAAGGAAATATCTTCTCCTAAAAACGACATAGAAGCATTCTCAGAAACTGCTCTGTGATGATTGCATTCAACTCCCAGAGTTGAACATTCCTTTTGATAGAGCAGTTTGCAAACACTCTTTTTGTAGAATCTGCAAGTGGAGATTTGGACCGCTTTGAGGCCTGTGGTAGTGAAGGAAAGAGCTTCATATAAAAACCAGACGGTAGCACTCTCAGAAAATTCTTTGTGACGATGGAGTTTAACTCAGGGAGCTGAACATTCGTTATGATGGAGCAGTTTCCAAACACACGTTTTGTAGAATCTGCAAGGGGATATTTGGACCTCTCTGAGGATTTCGTTGGAAACGGGATCAACTTCCCATAACTGAACGGAAGCAAACTCAGAACATTCTTTGTGATGTTTGTATTCAACTCACAGAGTTGAACCTTCCTTTGATAGTTCAGGTTTGCAACACCCTTGTAGTAGAATCTGCAAGTGTATATTTTGACCACTTTGTAGCCTTCGTTTGAAACGTCTATATCTTCACATCAAACCTAGACAGAAGCATTCTCAGAAAGTTTTCTGCGATGACTGCATTCAACTCACAGAGTTGAACAATCCTTCTGATGGAGCAGTTTTGAAACCCTCTTTCTTTGGAATCTGCAAGGGGATATGTGGACCTCTTTGAAGATTTCACTGGAAACGGGATCATCTTCACATAAAAACTAAACAGAAGCATTCTCGGAAACTACTTTGTGATGTTTGTATTCAACTCCCAGAGTTGAACTTTCCTTTTGAAAGAGCAGCTATGAAACACTCTTTTTCGGGAATCTGCAAGTGGACGTTTGGAAGGCTTTGAGGCCTGTGGTGGAAAAGGAAATATCTTCACATAAAAACTAGATAGAAGCATTCTCAGAAACGACTTTGTGAGGATGGCATTCAACCTCATGGAGTTGAACAATCCTATTGATAGAGCAGATTGGAATCACTCTTTTTGTGGAATCTGCAAATGGAGATTTGGACTGCTTTGAGGCCTACGGTCGTATAGGAAGGAACTTCAGATAAAAGGCAAACGGAAGCATTCTCAGAATATTCTTTGTGATGATGGAGTTTCACTGACAGAGCTGAACATGCCTTTTGATGGAGCAGTTTCCAAATACACTTTTGGTAGAATCTGCAGGTGGATATTTGGAGCTCTCTGAGGATTTCGTTGGAAACGGGAATAATTTCCCATAACTAAACACAAACACTCTGAGAAAGTTCTTCATGATGAATGCATTTAACTCGCAGAGATGAACCTGCCTTTGAGAGTTCAGGTTCGAAACACTCTTTCTGTATAATCTGCAAGTGGATATTTGGACCACTGGGTGGCCTTCGTTCGAAACGGGTATATGTTCACGTAAAAACTAAAGAGAAGCATTCTCAGAAACTTCTGAGTGATGATTGCATTCAAGTCACACAGTTGAACCCTCCTTTTGATGGAGCAGTTTTGAAACTGTCTTTTTGTAGAATCTGTAAGTGGATGCGTGGACCTCTTTGAAGATTTCTTTGGAAACGGGAATATTTCCACAGAAAAACTAAACTGAAGCATTCTCAGAAACTGCTTTGTGATGTTTGTGTTCGAGCCACAGAGTTTAACATTGCTTTTCATAGAGCAGTTTTGAAATATTCTTTTCGCAGAATCTGCAAGTGGACATTTGGAGCGCTTTCAGGCCTGTGGTTGCAAAGGCCTGAAAGCCTTTTCCTTTATCTTCACAGAAAGACGAGAGAGAAGCATTGTCAGAAACTTCTTTGTGATGATTGCATTCAACTCACAGAGTTGAAGATTCCTTTTGAAACAGCAGTTTCGAAACACTCTTTCTGTGGGATCCGCAAGGGGATATTTGGACCTCTTTGAAGGTTTCGTTGGAAACGGGATAATCTTCACCTAAAAGCTAAACGGAAGCATTCTCAGAAACTTCTTTGGGATGTTTGCATTCACCTCACAGAGTTGAACTTTCCCTTTGATAGCGCAGCTTTGACACACTTTTTCTACAATGTGCAAGTGGCTATTTAGCGGGCTTGGAGGACTGTGTTGGAAAAGGAAATATCTTCTCCTAAAAACGACATAGAAGCATTCTCAGAAACTGCTCTGTGATGATTGCATTCAACTCCCAGAGTTGAACATTCCTTTTGATAGAGCAGTTTGCAAACACTCTTTTTGTAGAATCTGCAAGTGGAGATTTGGACCGCTTTGAGGTCTGTGGTAGTGAAGGAAAGAGCTTCATATAAAAACCAGACGGTAGCACTCTCAGAAAATTCTTTGTGACGATGGAGTTTAACTCAGGGAGCTGAACATTCGTTATGATGGAGCAGTTTCCAAACACACGTTTTGTAGAATCTGCAAGGGGATATTTGGACCTCTCTGAGGATTTCGTTGGAAACGGGATCAACTTCCCATAACTGAACGGAAGCAAACTCAGAACATTCTTTGTGATGTTTGTATTCAACTCACAGAGTTGAACCTTCCTTTGATAGTTCAGGTTTGCAACACCCTTGTAGTAGAATCTGCAAGTGTATATTTTGACCACTTTGTAGCCTTCGTTTGAAACGTCTATATCTTCACATCAAACCTAGACAGAAGCATTCTCAGAAAGTTTTCTGCGATGACTGCATTCAACTCACAGAGTTGAACAATCCTTCTGATGGAGCAGTTTTGAAACCCTCTTTCTTTGGAATCTGCAAGGGGATATGTGGACCTCTTTGAAGATTTCACTGGAAACGGGATCATCTTCACATAAAAACTAAACAGAAGCATTCTCGGAAACTACTTTGTGATGTTTGTATTCAACTGCCAGAGTTGAACTTTCCTTTTGAAAGAGCAGCTATGAAACACTCTTTTTCGAGAATCTGCAAGTGGACGTTTGGAGGGCTTTGAGGCCTGTGGTGGAAAAGGAAATATCTTCACACAAAAACCAGATAGAAGCATTCTCAGAAACTGCTTTGTGAGGATGGCATTCAACTCATGGAGTTGAACAATCCTATTGATAGAGCAGATTGGAATCACTCTTTTTGTAGAATCTGCAAATGGAGATTTGGACTGCTTTGAGGCCTACGGTAGTACAGGAAGGAACTTCATATAAAAGGCAAACGGAAGCATTCTCAGAATATTCTTTGTGATGATGGAGTTTCACTCACAGAGCTGAACATGCCTTTTGATGGAGCAGTTTCCAAATACACTTTTGGTAGAATCTGCAGGTGGATATTTGGAGCTCTCTGAGGATTTCGTTGGAAACGGGAATAATTTCCCATAACTAAACACAAACACTCTGAGAAAGTTCTTCATGATGAATGCATTTAACTCGCAGAGATGAACCTGCCTTTGAGAGTTCAGGTTCGAAACACTCTTTCTGTATAATCTGCAAGTGGATATTTGGACCACTGGGTGGCCTTCGTTCGAAACGGGTATATGTTCACGTAAAAACTAAAGAGAAGCATTCTCAGAAACTTCTGAGTGATGATTGCATTCAAGTCACACGGTTGAACCCTCCTTTTGATGGAGCAGTTTTGAAACTGTCTTTTTGTAGAATCTGTAAGTGGATACGTGGACCTCTTTGAAGATTTCTTTGGAAACGGGAATATTTCCACAGAAAAACTAAACTGAAGCATTCTCAGAAACCGCTTTGTGATGTTTGTGTTCGAGCCACAGAGTTTAACATTGCTTTTCATAGAGCAGTTTTGAAATATTCTTTTCGCAGAATCTGCAAGTGGACATTTGGAGCGCTTTCAGGCCTGTGGTGGAAAAGGCCTGAAAGCCTTTTCCTTTATCTTCACAGAAAGACGAGAGAGAAGCATTGTCAGAAACTTCTTTGTGATGATTGCATTCAACTCACAGAGTTGAAGATTCCTTTTGAAACAGCAGTTTCGAAACACTCTTTCTGTGGGATCCGCAAGGGGATATTTGGACCTCTTTGAAGGTTTCGTTGGAAACGGGATAATCCTCACCTAAAAGCTAAACGGAAGCATTCTCAGAAACTTCTTTGGGATGTTTGCATTCACCTCACAGAGTTGAACTTTCCCTTTGATAGCGCAGCTTTGACACACTTTTTCTACAATGTGCAAGTGGCTATTTAGCGGGCTTGGAGGACTGTGTTGGAAAAGGAAATATCTTCTCCTAAAAACGACATAGAAGCATTCTCAGAAACTGCTCTGTGATGATTGCATTCAACTCCCAGAGTTGAACATTCCTTTTGATAGAGCAGTTTGCAAACACTCTTTTTGTAGAATCTGCAAGTGGAGATTTGGACCGCTTTGAGGCCTGTGGTAGTGAAGGAAAGAACTTCATATAAAAACCAGACGGTAGCACTCTCAGAAAATTCTTTGTGACGATGGAGTTTAACTCAGGGAGCTGAACATTCGTTATGATGGAGCAGTTTCCAAACACACGTTTTGTAGAATCTGCGAGGGGATATTTGGACCTCTCTGAGGATTTCGTTGGAAACGGGATCAACTTCCCATAACTGAACGGAAGCAAACTCAGAACATTCTTTGTGATGTTTGTATTCAACTCACAGAGTTGAACCTTCCTTTGATAGTTCAGGTTTGCAACACCCTTGTAGTAGAATCTGCAAGTGTATATTTTGACCACTTTGTAGCCTTCGTTTGAAACGTCTATATCTTCACATCAAACCTAGACAGAAGCATTCTCAGAAAGTTTTCTGCGATGACTGCATTCAACTCACAGAGTTGAACAATCCTTCTGATGGAGCAGTTTTGAAACCCTCTTTCTTTGGAATCTGCAAGGGGATATGTGGACCTCTTTGAAGATTTCACTGGAAACGGGATCATCTTCACATAAAAACTAAACAGAAGCATTCTCGGAAACTATTTTGTGATGTTTGTATTCAACTCCCAGAGTTGAACTTTCCTTTTGAAAGAGTAGCTATGAAACACTCTTTTTCGAGAAACTGCAAGTGGACGTTTGGAGGGCTTTGAGGCCTGTGGTGGAAAAGGAAATATCTTCACACAAAAACCAGATAGAAGCATTCTCAGAAACTGCTTTGTGAGGATGGCATTCAACTCATGGAGTTGAACAATCCTATTGATAGAGCAGATTGGAATCACTCTTTTTGTAGAATCTGCAAATGGAGATTTGGACTGCTTTGAGGCCTACGGTAGTACAGGAAGGAACTTCATATAAAAGGCAAACGGAAGCATTCTCAGAATATTCTTTGTGATGATGGAGTTTCACTCACAGAGCTGAACATGCCTTTTGATGGAGCAGTTTCCAAATACACTTTTGGTAGAATCTGCAGGTGGATATTTGGAGCTCTCTGAGGATTTCGTTGGAAACGGGAATAATTTCCCATAACTAAACACAAACACTCTGAGAAAGTTCTTCATGATGAATGCATTTAACTCGCAGAGATGAACCTGCCTTTGAGAGTTCAGGTTCGAAACACTCTTTCTGTATAATCTGCAAGTGGATATTTGGACCACTGGGTGGCCTTCGTTCGAAACGGGTATATGTTCACGTAAAAACTAAAGAGAAGCATTCTCAGAAACTTCTGAGTGATGATTGCATTCAAGTCACACGGTTGAACCCTCCTTTTGATGGAGCAGTTTTGAAACTGTCTTTTTGTAGAATCTGTAAGTGGATACGTGGACCTCTTTGAAGATTTCTTTGGAAACGGGAATATTTCCACAGAAAAACTAAACTGAAGCATTCTCAGAAACCGCTTTGTGATGTTTGTGTTCGAGCCACAGAGTTTACCATTGCTTTTCATAGAGCAGTTTTGAAATATTCTTTTCGCAGAATCTGCAAGTGGACATTTGGAGCGCTTTCAGGCCTGTGGTGGAAGAGGCCTGAAAGCCTTTTCCTTTATCTTCACAGAAAGACGAGAGAGAAGCATTGTCAGAAACTTCTTTGTGATGATTGCATTCAACTCACAGAGTTGAAGATTCCTTTTGAAACAGCAGTTTCGAAACACTCTTTCTGTGGGATCCGCAAGGGGATATTTGGACCTCTTTGAAGGTTTCGTTGGAAACGGGATAATCTTCACCTAAAAGCTAAACGGAAGCATTCTCTGAAACTTCTTTGGGATGTTTGCATTCACCTCACAGAGTTGAACTTTCCCTTTGATAGCGCAGCTTTGACACACTTTTTCTACAATGTGCAAGTGGCTATTTAGCGGGCTTGGAGGACTGTGTTGGAAAAGGAAATATCTTCTCCTAAAAACGACATAGAAGCATTCTCAGAAACTGCTCTGTGATGATTGCATTCAACTCCCAGAGTTGAACATTCCTTTTGATAGAGCAGTTTGCAAACACTCTTTTTGTAGAATCTGCAAGTGGAGATTTGGACCGCTTTGAGGCCTGTGGTAGTGAAGGAAAGAACTTCATATAAAAACCAGACGGTAGCACTCTCAGAAAATTCTTTGTGACGATGGAGTTTAACTCAGGGAGCTGAACATTCGTTATGATGGAGCAGTTTCCAAACACACGTTTTGTAGAATCTGCAAGGGGATATTTGGACCTCTCTGAGGATTTCGTTGGAAACGGGATCAACTTCCCATAACTGAACGGAAGCAAACTCAGAACATTCTTTGTGATGTTTGTATTCAACTCACAGAGTTGAACCTTCCTTTGATAGTTCAGGTTTGCAACACCCTTGTAGTAGAATCTGCAAGTGTATATTTTGACCACTTTGTAGCCTTCGTTTGAAACGTCTATATCTTCACATCAAACCTAGACAGAAGCATTCTCAGAAAGTTTTCTGCGATGACTGCATTCAACACACAGAGTTGAACAATCCTTTTGATGGAGCAGTTTTGAAACCCTCTTTCTTTGGAATCTGCAAGGGGATATGTGGACCTCTTTGAAGATTTCACTGGAAACGGGATCATCTTCACATAAAAACTAAACAGAAGCATTCTCGGAAACTATTTTGTGATGTTTGTATTCAACTCCCAGAGTTGAACTTTCCTTTTGAAAGAGAAGCTATGAAACACTCTTTTTCGAGAATCTGCAAGTGGACGTTTGGGGGGCTTTGAGGCCTGTGGTGGAAAAGGAAATATCTTCACACAAAAACCAGATAGAAGCATTCTCAGAAACTACTTTGTGAGGATGGCATTCAACTCATGGAGTTGAACAATCCTATTGATAGAGAAGATTGGAATCACTCTTTTTGTAGAATCTGCAAATGGAGATTTGGACTGCTTTGAGGCCTACGGTAGTACAGGAAGGAAGTTCATATAAAAGGCAAACGGAAGCATTCTCAGAATATTCTTTGTGATGATGGAGTTTCACTGACAGAGCTGAACATGCCTTTTGATGGAGCAGTTTCCAAATACACTTTTGGTAGAATCTGCAGGTGGATATTTGGAGCTCTCTGAGGATTTCGTTGGAAACGGGAATAATTTCCCATAACTAAACACAAACACTCTGAGAAAGTTCTTCATGATGAATGCATTTAACTCGCAGAGATGAACCTGCCTTTGAGAGTTCAGGTTCGAAACACTCTTTCTGTAGAATCTGCAAGTGGATATTTGGACCACTGGGTGGCGTTCGTTCGAAACGGGTATATGTTCACCTAAAAACTAAAGAGAAGCATTCTCAGAAACTTCTGAGTGATGATTGCATTCAAGTCACACAGTTGAACCCTCCTTTTGATGGAGCAGTTTTGAAACTGTCTTTTTGTAGAATCTGTAAGTGGATACGTGGACCTCTTTGAAGATTTCTTTGGAAACGGGAATATTTCCACAGAAAAACTAAACTGAAGCATTCTCAGAAACCGCTTTGTGATGTTTGTGTTCGAGCCACAGAGTTTAACATTGCGTTTCATAGAGCAGTTTTGAAATATTCTTTTGGCAGAATCTGCAAGTGGACATTTGGAGCGCTTTCAGGCCTGTGGTGGAAAAGGCCTGAAAGCCTTTTCCTTTATCTTCACAGAAAGACGAGAGAGAAGCATTGTCAGAAACTTCTTTGTGATGATTGCATTCAACTCACAGAGTTGAAGATTCCTTTTGAAACAGCAGTTTCGAAACACTCTTTCTGTGGGATCCGCAAGGGGATATTTGGACCTCTTTGAAGGTTTCGTTGGAAACGGGATAATCTTCACCTAAAAGCTAAACGGAAGCATTCTCAGAAACTTCTTTGGGATGTTTGCATTCACCTCACAGAGTTGAACTTTCCCTTTGATAGCGCAGCTTTGACACACTTTTTCTACAATGTGCAAGTGGCTATTTAGCGGGCTTGGAGGACTGTGTTGGAAAAGGAAATATCTTCTCCTAAAAACGACATAGAAGCATTCTCAGAAACTGCTCTGTGATGATTGCATTCAACTCCCAGAGTTGAACATTCCTTTTGATAGAGCAGTTTGCAAACACTCTTTTTGTAGAATCTGCAAGTGGAGATTTGGACCGCTTTGAGGCCTGTGGTAGTGAAGGAAAGAACTTCATATAAAAACCAGACGGTAGCACTCTCAGAAAATTCTTTGTGACGATGGAGTTTAACTCAGGGAGCTGAACATTCGTTATGATGGAGCAGTTTCCAAACACACGTTTTGTAGAATCTGCGAGGGGATATTTGGACCTCTCTGAGGATTTCTTTGGAAACGGGATCAACTTCCCATAACTGAACGGAAGCAAACTCAGAACATTCTTTGTGATGTTTGTATTCAACTCACAGAGTTGAACCTTCCTTTGATAGTTCAGGTTTGCAACACCCTTGTAGTAGAATCTGCAAGTGTATATTTTGACCACTTTGTAGCCTTCGTTTGAAACGTCTATATCTTCACATCAAACCTAGACAGAAGCATTCTCAGAAAGTTTTCTGCGATGACTGCATTCAACTCACAGAGTTGAACAATCCTTCTGATGGAGCAGGTTTGAAACCCTCTTTCTTTGGAATCTGCAAGGGGATATGTGGACCTCTTTGAAGATTTC
The DNA here is from genome assembly GCF_000001405.40 of Homo sapiens. Lineage (NCBI taxonomy): Eukaryota > Metazoa > Chordata > Mammalia > Primates > Hominidae > Homo > Homo sapiens. Next base: position 58,818,966 of record NC_000023.11, read on the forward strand.
ACTGGAAACGGGATCATCTTCACATAAAAACTAAACAGAAGCATTCTCGGAAACTACTTTGTGATGTTTGTATTCAACTCCTAGAGTTGAACTTTCCTTTTGAAAGAGCAGCTATGAAACACTCTTTTTCGAGAATCTGCAAGTGGACGTTTGGAGGGCTTTGAGGCCTGTGGTGGAAAAGGAAATATCTTCACACAAAAACCAGATAGAAGCATTCTCAGAAACTACTTTGTGAGGATGGCATTCAACTCATGGGAGTTGAACAATCCTATTGATAGAGCAGATTGGAATCACTCTTTTTGTAGAATCTGCAAATGGAGATTTGGACTGCTTTGAGGCCTACGGTCGTATAGGAAGGAACTTCATATAAAAGGCAAACGGAAGCATTCTCAGAATATTCGTTGTGATGATGGAGTTTCACTCACAGAGCTGAACATGCCTTTTGATGGAGCAGTTTCCAAATACACTTTTGGTAGAATCTGCAGGTGGATATTTGCAGCTCTCTGAGGATTTCGTTGGAAACGGGAATAATTTCCCATAACTAAACACAAACACTCTGAGAAAGTTCTTCATGATGAATGCATTTAACTCGCAGAGATGAACCTGCCTTTGAGAGTTCAGGTTCGAAACACTCTTTCTGTAGAATCTGCAAGTGGATATTTGGACCACTGGGTGGCCTTCGTTCGAAACGGGTATATGTTCACGTAAAAACTAAAGAGAAGCATTCTCAGAAACTTCTGAGTGATGATTGCATTCAAGTCACACAGTTGAACCCTCCTTTTGATGGAGCAGTTTTGAAACTGTCTTTTTGTAGAATCTGTAAGTGGATACGTGGACCTCTTTGAAGATTTCTTTGGAAACGGGAATATTTCCACAGAAAAACTAAACTGAAGCATTCTCAGAAACTGCTTTGTGATGTTTGTGTTCGAGCCACAGAGTTTAACATTGCTTTTCATAGAGCAGTTTTGAAATATTCTTTTCGCAGAATCTGCAAGTGGACATTTGGAGCGCTTTCAGGCCTGTGGTTGGAAAAGGCCTGAAAGCCTTTTCCTTTATCTTCACAGAAAGACGAGAGAGAAGCATTGTCAGAAACTTCTTTGTGATGATTGCATTCAACTCACAGAGTTGAAGATTCCTTTTGAAACAGCAGTTTCGAAACACTCTTTCTGTGGGATCCGCAAGGGGATATTTGGACCTCTTTGAAGGTTTCGTTGGAAACGGGATAATCCTCACCTAAAAGCTAAACGGGAAGCATTCTCAGAAACTTCTTTTGGATGTTTGCATTCACCTCAGAGAGTTGAATTTTCCCTTTGATAGCGCAGCTTCGACACACTTTTTCTACAATGTGCAAGTGGATATTTAGCGGGCTTGGAGGACTGTGTTGGAAAAGGAAATATCTTCTCCTAAAAACGACATAGAAGCATTCTCAGAAACTGCTCTGTGATGATTGCATTCAACTCCCAGAGTTGAACATTCCTTTTGATAGAGCAGTTTGCAAACACTCTTTTTGTAGAATCTGCAAGTGGAGATTTGGACCGCTTTGAGGCCTGTGGTAGGGAAGGAAAGAACTTCATATAAAAACCAGACGGTAGCACTCTCAGAAAATTCTTTGTGACGATGGAGTTTAACTCAGGGAGCTGAACATTCGTTATGATGGAGCAGTTTCCAAACACACGTTTTGTAGAATCTGCGAGGGGATATTTGGACCTCTCTGAGGATTTCGTTGGAAACGGGATCAACTTCCCATAACTGAACGGAAGCAAACTCAGAACATTCTTTGTGATGTTTGTATTCAACTCACAGAGTTGAACCTTCCTTTGATAGTTCAGGTTTGCAACACCCTTGTAGTAGAATCTGCAAGTGTATATTTTGACCACTTTGTAGCCTTCGTTTGAAACGTCTATATCTTCACATCAAACCTAGACAGAAGCATTCTCAGAAAGTTTTCTGCGATGACTGCATTCAACTCACAGAGTTGAACAATCCTTCTGATGGAGCAGTTTTTAAACCCTCTTTCTTTGGAATCTGCAAGGGGATATGTGGACCTCTTTGAAGATTTCACTGGAAACGGGATCATCTTCACATAAAAACTAAACAGAAGCATTCTCGGAAACTATTTTGTGATGTTTGTATTCAACTCCCAGAGTTGAACTTTCCTTTTGAAAGAGCAGCTATGAAACACTCTTTTTCGAGAATCTGCAAGTGGACGTTTGGAGGGCTTTGAGGCCTGTGGTGGAAAAGGAAATATCTTCACACAAAAACCAGATAGAAGCATTCTCAGAAACTACTTTGTGAGGATGGCATTCAACTCATGGAGTTGAACAATCCTATTGATAGAGCAGATTGGAATCACTCTTTTTGTAGAATCTGCAAATGGAGATTTGGACTGCTTTGAGGCCTACAGTAGTACAGGAAGGAACTTCATATAAAAGGCAAACGGAAGCATTCTCAGAATATTCTTTGTGATGATGGAGTTTCACTCACAGAGCTGAACATGCCTTTTGATGGAGCAGTTTCCAAATACACTTTTGGTAGAATCTGCAGGTGGATATTTGGAGCTCTCTGAGGATTTCGTTGGAAACGGGAATAATTTCCCATAACTAAACACAAACACTCTGAGAAAGTTCTTCATGATGAATGCATTTAACTCGCAGAGATGAACCTGCCTTTGAGAGTTCAGGTTCGAAACACTCTTTCTGTAGAATCTGCAAGTGGATATTTGGACCACTGGGTGGCCTTCGTTCGAAACGGGTATATGTTCACGTAAAAACTAAAGAGAAGCATTCTCAGAAACTTCTGAGTGATGATTGCATTCAAGTCACACAGTTGAACCCTCCTTTTGATGGAGCAGTTTTGAAACTGTCTTTTTGTAGAATCTGTAAGTGGATGCGTGGACCTCTTTGAAGATTTCTTTGGAAACGGGAATATTTCCACAGAAAAACTAAACTGAAGCATTCTCAGAAACTGCTTTGTGATGTTTGTGTTCGAGCCACAGAGTTTAACATTGCTTTTCATAGAGCAGTTTTGAAATATTCTTTTCGCAGAATCTGCAAGTGGACATTTGGAGCGCTTTCAGGCCTGTGGTGGAAAAGGCCTGAAAGCCTTTTCCTTTATCTTCACAGAAAGACGAGAGAGAAGCATTGTCAGAAACTTCTTTGTGATGATTGCATTCAACTCACAGAGTTGAAGATTCCTTTTGAAACAGCAGTTTCGAAACACTCTTTCTGTGGGATCCGCAAGGGGATATTTGGACCTCTTTGAAGGTTTCGTTGGAAACGGGATAATCTTCACCTAAAAGCTAAACGGAAGCATTCTCAGAAACTTCTTTGGGATGTTTGCATTCACCTCACAGAGTTGAACTTTCCCTTTGATAGCGCAGCTTTGACACACTTTTTCTACAATGTGCAAGTGGCTATTTAGCGGGCTTGGAGGATTGTGTTGGAAAAGGAAATATCTTCTCCTAAAAACGACATAGAAGCATTCTCAGAAACTGCTCTGTGATGATTGCATTCAACTCCCAGAGTTGAACATTCCTTTTGATAGAGCAGTTTGCAAACACTCTTTTTGTAGAATCTGCAAGTGGAGATTTGGACCGCTTTGAGGCCTGTGGTAGTGAAGGAAAGAACTTCATATAAAAACCAGACGGTAGCACTCTCAGAAAATTCTTTGTGACGATGGAGTTTAACTCAGGGAGCTGAACATTCGTTATGATGGAGCAGTTTCCAAACACACGTTTTGTAGAATCTGCAAGGGGATATTTGGACCTCTCTGAGGATTTCGTTGGAAACGGGATCAACTTCCCATAACTGAACGGAAGCAAACTCAGAACATTCTTTGTGATGTTTGTATTCAACTCACAGAGTTGAACCTTCCTTTGATAGTTCAGGTTTGCAACACCCTTGTAGTAGAATCTGCAAGTGTATATTTTGACCACTTTGTAGCCTTCGTTTGAAACGTCTATATCTTCACATCAAACCTAGACAGAAGCATTCTCAGAAAGTTTTCTGCGATGACTGCATTCAACTCACACAGTTGAACAATCCTTCTGATGGAGCAGTTTTGAAACCCACTTTCTTTGGAATCTGCAAGGGGATATGTGGACCTCTTTGAAGATTTCACTGGAAACGGGATCATCTTCACATAGAAACTAAACAGAAGCATTCTCGGAAACTACTTTGTGATGTTTGTATTCAACTGCCAGAGTTGAACTTTCCTTTTGAAAGAGCAGCTATGAAACACTCTTTTTCGAGAATCTGCAAGTGGACGTTTGGAGGGCTTTGAGGCCTGTGGTGGAAAAGGAAATATCTTCACATAAAAACTAGATAGAAGCATTCTCAGAAACTACTTTGTGAGGATGGCATTCAACTCATGGAGTTGAACAATCCTATTGATAGAGCAGATTGGAATCACTCTTTTTGTAGAATCTGCAAATGGAGATTTGGACTGCTTTGAGGCCTACGGTCGTATAGGAAGGAACTTCATATAAAAGGCAAACGGAAGCATTCTCAGAATATTCTTTGTGATGATGGAGTTTCACTCACAGAGCTGAACATGCCTTTTGATGGAGCAGTTTCCAAATACACTTTTGGTAGAATCTGCAGGTGGATATTTGGAGCTCTCTGAGGATTTCGTTGGAAACGGGAATAATTTCCCATAACTAAACACAAACACTCTGAGAAAGTTCTTCATGATGAATGCATTTAACTCGCAGAGATGAACCTGCCTTTGAGAGTTCAGGTTCGAAACACTCTTTCTGTAGAATCTGCAAGTGGATATTTGGACCACTGGGTGGCCTTCGTTCGAAACGGGTATATGTTCACGTAAAAACTAAAGAGAAGCATTCTCAGAAACTTCTGAGTGATGATTGCATTCAAGTCACACAGTTGAACCCTCCTTTTGATGGAGCAGTTTTGAAACTGTCTTTTTGTAGAATCTGTAAGTGGATACGTGGACCTCTTTGAAGATTTCTTTGGAAACGGGAATATTTCCACAGAAAAACTAAACTGAAGCATTCTCAGAAACTGCTTTGTGATGTTTGTGTTCGAGCCACAGAGTTTAACATTGCTTTTCATAGAGCAGTTTTGAAATATTCTTTTCGCAGAATCTGCAAGTGGACATTTGGAGCGCTTTCAGGCCTGTGGTGGAAAAGGCCTGAAAGCCTTTTCCTTTATCTTCACAGAAAGACGAGAGAGAAGCATTGTCAGAAACTTCTTTGTGATGATTGCATTCAACTCACAGAGTTGAAGATTCCTTTTGAAACAGCAGTTTCGAAACACTCTTTCTGTGGGATCCGCAAGGGGATATTTGGACCTCTTTGAAGGTTTCGTTGGAAACGGGATAATCTTCACCTAAAAGCTAAACGGAAGCATTCTCAGAAACTTCTTTGGGATGTTTGCATTCACCTCACAGAGTTGAACTTTCCCTTTGATAGCGCAGCTTCGACACACTTTTTCTACAATGTGCAAGTGGCTATTTAGCGGGCTTGGAGGACTGTGTTGGAAAAGGAAATATCTTCTCCTAAAAACGACATAGAAGCATTCTCAGAAACTGCTCTGTGATGATTGCATTCAACTCCCAGAGTTGAACATTCCTTTTGATAGAGCAGTTTGCAAACACTCTTTTTGTAGAATCTGCAAGTGGAGATTTGGACCGCTTTGAGGCCTGTGGTAGTGAAGGAAAGAACTTCATATAAAAACCAGACGGTAGCACTCTCAGAAAATTCTTTGTGACGATGGAGTTTAACTCAGGGAGCTGAACATTCGTTATGATGGAGCAGTTTCCAAACACACGTTTTGTAGAATCTGCAAGGGGATATTTGGACCTCTCTGAGGATTTCGTTGGAAACGGGATCAACTTCCCATAACTGAACGGAAGCAAACTCAGAACATTCTTTGTGATGTTTGTATTCAACTCACAGAGTTGAACCTTCCTTTGATAGTTCAGGTTTGCAACACCCTTGTAGTAGAATCTGCAAGTGTATATTTTGACCACTTTGTAGCCTTCGTTTGAAAGGTCTATATCTTCACATCAAACCTAGACAGAAGCATTCTCAGAAAGTTTTCTGCGATGACTGCATTCAACTCACAGAGTTGAACAATCCTTCTGATGGAGCAGTTTTGAAACCCTCTTTCTTTGGAATCTGCAAGGGGATATGTGGACCTCTTTGAAGATTTCACTGGAAACGGGATCATCTTCACATAAAAACTAAACAGAAGCATTCTCGGAAACTACTTTGTGATGTTTGTATTCAACTCCCAGAGTTGAACTTTCCTTTTGAAAGAGCAGCTATGAAACACTCTTTTTCGAGAATCTGCAAGTGGACGTTTGGAGGGCTTTGAGGCCTGTGGTGGAAAAGGAAATATCTTCACATAAAAACTAGATAGAAGCATTCTCAGAAACTACTTTGTGAGGATGGCATTCAACTCATGGAGTTGAACAGTCCTATTGATAGAGCAGATTGGAATCACTCTTTTTGTAGAATCTGCAAATGGAGATTTGGACTGCTTTGAGGCCTACGGTAGTATAGGAAGGAACTTCATATAAAAGGCAAACGGAAGCATTCTCAGAATATTCTTTGTGATGATGGAGTTTCACTCACAGAGCTGAACATGCCTTTTGATGGAGCAGTTTCCAAATACACTTTTGGTAGAATCTGCAGGTGGATATTTGGAGCTCTCTGAGGATTTCGTTGGAAACGGGAATAATTTCCCATAACTAAACACAAACACGCTGAGAAAGTTCTTCATGATGAATGCATTTAACTCGCAGAGATGAACCTGCCTTTGAGAGTTCAGGTTCGAAACACTCTTTCTGTAGAATCTGCAAGTGGATATTTGGACCACTGGCTGGCCTTCGTTCGAAACGGGTATATGTTCACGTAAAAACTAAAGAGAAGCGTTCTCAGAAACTTCTGAGTGATGAATGCATTCAAGTCACACAGTTGAACCCTCCTTTTGATTGAGCAGTTTTGAAACTGTCTTTTTGTAGAATCTGTAAGTGGATGCGTGGACCTCTTTGAAGATTTCTTTGGAAACGGGAATATTTCCACAGAAAAACTAAACTGAAGCATTCTCAGAAACTGCTTTGTGATGTTTGTGTTCGAGCCGCAGAGTTTAACATTGCTTTTCATAGAGCAGTTTTGAAATATTCTTTTGGCAGAATCTGCAAGTGGACATTTGGAGCGCTTTCAGGCCTGTGGTGGAAATGGCCTGAAAGCCTTTTCCTTTATCTTCACAGAAAGACGAGAGAGAAGCATTGTCAGAAACTTCTTTGTGATGATTGCATTCAACTCACAGAGTTGAAGATTCCTTTTGAAACAGCAGTTTCGAAACACTCTTTCTGTGGGATCCGCAAGGGGATATTTGGACCTCTTTGAAGATTTCGTTGGAAACGGGATAATCTTCACTTAAAGCTAAACGGAAGCATTCTCAGAAACTTCTTTGGGATGTTTGCATTCACCTCACAGAGTTGAACTTTCCCTTTGATAGCGCAGCTTCGACACACTTTTTCTACAATGTGCAAGTGGCTATTTAGCGGGCTTGGAGGACTGTGTTGGAAAAGGAAATATCTTCTCCTAAAAACGACATAGAAGCCTTCTCAGAAACTGCTCTGTGATGATTGCATTCAACTCCCAGAGTTGAACATTCCTTTTGATAGAGCAGTTTGCAGACACTCTTTTTGTAGAATCTGCAAGTGGAGATTTGGACCGCTTTGAGGCCTGTGGTAGTAAAGGAAAGAACTTCATATAAAAACTAGACGGTAGCACTCTCAGAAAATTCTTTGTGACGATGGAGTTTAACTCAGGGAGCTGAACATTCGTTATGATGGAGCAGTTTCCAAACACACGTTTTGTAGAATCTGCAAGGGGATATTTGGACCTCTCTGAGGATTTCGTTGGAAACGGGATCAACTTCCCATAACTGAACGGAAGCAAACTCAGAACATTCTTTGTGATGTTTGTATTCAACTCACAGAGTTGAACCTTCCTTTGATAGTTCAGGTTTGCAACACCCTTGTAGTAGAATCTGCAAGTGTATATTTTGACCACTTTGTAGCCTTCGTTTGAAACGTCTATATCTTCACATCAAACCTAGACAGAAGCATTCTCAGAAAGTTTTCTGCGATGACTGCATTCAACTCACAGAGTTGAACAATCCTTCTGATGGAGCAGTTTTGAAACCCTCTTTCTTTGGAATCTGCAAGGGGATATGTGGACCTCTTTGAAGATTTCACTGGAAACGGGATCATCTTCACATAAAAACTAAACAGAAGCATTCTCGGAAACTACTTTGTGATGTTTGTATTCAACTCCCAGAGTTGAACTTTCCTTTTGAAAGAGCAGCTATGAAACACTCTTTTTCGAGAATCTGCAAGTGGACGTTTGGAGGGCTTTGAGGCCTGTGGTGGAAAAGGAAATATCTTCACATTAAAACTAGATAGAAGCATTCTCAGAAACGACTTTGTGAGGATGGCATTCAACTCATGGAGTTGAACAATCCTATTGATAGAGCAGATTGGAATCACTCTTTTTGTAGAATCTGCAAATGGAGATTTGGACTGCTTTGAGGCCTACGGTAGTATAGGAAGGAACTTCATATAAAAGGCAAACGGAAGCATTCTCAGAATATTCTTTGTGATGATGGAGTTTCACTCACAGAGCTGAACATGCCTTTTGATGGAGCAGTTTCCAAATACACTTTTGGTAGAATCTGCAGGTGGATATTTGGAGCTCTCTGAGGATTTCGTTGGAAACGGGAATAATTTCCCATAACTAAACACAAACACTCTGAGAAAGTTCTTCATGATGAATGCATTTAACTCGCAGAGATGAACGTGCCTTTGAGAGTTCAGGTTCGAAACACTCTTTCTGTAGAATCTGCAAGTGGATATTTGGACCACTGGCTGGCCTTCGTTCGAAACGGGTATATGTTCACGTAAAAACTAAAGAGAAGCATTCTCAGAAACTTCTGAGTGATGATTGCATTCAAGTCACACAGTTGAACCCTCCTTTTGATGGAGCAGTTTTGAAACTGTCTTTTTGTAGAATCTGTAAGTGGATACGTGGACCTCTTTGAAGATTTCTTTGGAAACGGGAATATTTCCACAGAAAAACTAAACTGAAGCATTCTCAGAAACTGCTTTGTGATGTTTGTGTTCGAGCCACAGAGTTTAACATTGCTTTTCATAGAGCAGTTTTCAAATATTCTTTTCACAGAATCTGCAAGTGGACATTTGGAGCGCTTTCAGGCCTGTGGTGGAAAAGGCCTGAAAGCCTTTTCCTTTATCTTCACAGAAAGACGAGAGAGAAAGCATTGTCAGAAACTTCTTTGTGATGATTGCATTCAACTCACAGTAGTTGAAGATTCCTTTTGAAACAGCAGTTTCGAAACACTCTTTCTGTGGGATCCGCAAGGGGATATTTGGACCTCTTTGAAGGTTTCGTTGGAAACGGGATAATCTTCACCTAAAAGCTAAACGGAAGCATTCTCAGAAACTTCTTTGGGATGTTTGCATTCACCTCACAGAGTTGAACTTTCCCTTTGATAGCGCAGCTTTGACACACTTTTTCTACAATGTGCAAGTGGCTATTTAGCGGGCTTGGAGGACTGTGTTGGAAAAGGAAATATCTTCTCCTAAAAACGACATAGAAGCATTCTCAGAAACTGCTCTGTGATGATTGCATTCAACTCCCAGAGTTGAACATTCCTTTGGATAGAGCAGTTTGCAAACACTCTTTTTGTAGAATCTGCAAGTGGAGATTTGGACCGCTTTGAGGCCTGTGGTAGTGAAGGAAAGAACTTCATATAAAAACCAGACGGTAGCACTCTCAGAAAATTCTTTGTGACGATGGAGTTTAACTCAGGGAGCTGAACATTCGTTATGATGGAGCAGTTTCCAAACACACGTTTTGTAGAATCTGCAAGGGGATATTTGGACCTCTCTGAGGATTTCGTTGGAAACGGGATCAACTTCCCATAACTGAACGGAAGCAAACTCAGAACATTCTTTGTGATGTTTGTATTCAACTCACAGAGTTGAACCTTCCTTTGATAGTTCAGGTTTGCAACACCCTTGTAGTAGAATCTGCAAGTGTATATTTTGACCACTTTGTAGCCTTCGTTTGAAACGTCTATATCTTCACATCAAACCTAGACAGAAGCATTCTCAGAAAGTTTTCTGCGATGACTGCATTCAACTCACAGAGTTGAACAATCCTTCTGATGGAGCAGTTTTGAAACCCTCTTTCTTTGGAATCTGCAAGGGGATATGTGGACCTCTTTGAAGATTTCACTGGAAACGGGATCATCTTCACATAAAACTAAACAGAAGCATTCTCGGAAACTACTTTGGGATGTTTGTATTCAACTCCCAGAGTTGAACTTCCCTTTTGAAAGAGCAGCTATGAAACACTCTTTTTCGAGAATCTGCAAGTGGACGTTTGGAGGGCTTTGAGGCCTGTGGTGGAAAGGGAAATATCTTCACATAAAAACTAGATAGAAGCATTCTCAGAAACGACATTGTGAGGATGGCATTCAACTCATGGAGTTGAACAATCCTATTGATAGAGGAGATTGGAATCACTCTTTTTGTAGAATCTGCAAATGGAGATTTGGACTGCTTTGAGGCCTACGGTAGTATAGGAAGGAACTTCATATAAAAGGCAAACGGAAGCATTCTCAGAATATTCTTTGTGATGATGGAGTTTCACTCACAGACCTGAACATGCCTTTTGATGGAGCAGTTTCCAAATACACTTTTGGTAGAATCAGCAGGTGGATATTTGGAGCTCTCTGAGGATTTCGTTGGAAACGGGAATAATTTCCCATAACTAAACACAAAACACTCTGAGAAAGTTCTTCATGATGAATGCATTTAACTCGCAGAGATGAACCTGCCTTTGAGAGTTCAGGTTCGAAACACTCTTTCTGTAGAATCTGCAAGTGGATATTTGTACCACTGGCTGGCCTTCGTTCGAAACGGGTATATGTTCACGTAAAAACTAAAGAGAAGCATTCTCAGAAACTTGTGAGTGATGATTGCATTCAAGTCACACAGTAGAACCCTCCTTTTGATGGAGCAGTTTTGAAACTGTCTTTTTGTAGAATCTGTAAGTGGATACGTGGACCTCTTTGAAGATTTCTTTGGAAACGGGAATATTTCCACAGAAAAACTAAACTGAAGCATTCTCAGAAACCGCTTTGTGATGTTTGTGTTCGAGCCACAGAGTTTAACATTGCTTTTCATAGAGCAGTTTTGAAATATTCTTTTGGCAGAATCTGCAAGTGGACATTTGGAGCGCTTTCAGGCCTGTGGTGGAAAAGGCCTGAAAGCCTTTTCCTTTATCTTCACAGAAAGACGAGAGAGAAGCATTGTCAGAAACTTCTTTGTGATGATTGCATTCAACTCACAGAGTTGAAGATTCCTTTTGAAACAGCAGTTTCGAAACACTCTTTCTGTGGGATCCGCAAGGGGATATTTGGACCTCTTTGAAGGTTTCGTTGGAAACGGGATAATCTTCACCTAAAAGCTAAACGGAAGCATTCTCAGAAACTTCTTTGGGATGTTTGCATTCACCTCACAGAGTTGAACTTTCCCTTTGATAGCGCAGCTTTGACACACTTTTTCTACAATGTGCAAGTGGATATTTAGCGGGCTTGGAGGACTGTGTTGGAAAAGGAAATATCTTCTCCTAAAAACGACATAGAAGCATTCTCAGAAACTGCTCTGTGATGATTGCATTCAACTCCCAGAGTTGAACATTCCTTTTGATAGAGCAGTTTGCAAACACTCTTTTTGTAGAATCTGCAAGTGGAGATTTGGACCGCTTTGAGGCCTGTGGTAGTGAAGGAAAGAGCTTCATATAAAAACCAGACGGTAGCACTCTCAGAAAATTCTTTGTGACGATGGAGTTTAACTCAGGGAGCTGAACATTCGTTATGATGGAGCAGTTTCCAAACACACGTTTTGTAGAATCTGCAAGGGGATATTTGGACCTCTCTGAGGATTTCGTTGGAAACGGGATCAACTTCCCATAACTGAACGGAAGCAAACTCAGAACATTCTTTGTGATGTTTGTATTCAACTCACAGAGTTGAACCTTCCTTTGATAGTTCAGGTTTGCAACACCCTTGTAGTAGAATCTGCAAGTGTATATTTTGACCACTTTGTAGCCTTCGTTTGAAACGTCTATATCTTCACATCAAACCTAGACAGAAGCATTCTCAGAAAGTTTTCTGCGATGACTGCATTCAACTCACAGAGTTGAACAATCCTTCTGATGGAGCAGTTTTGAAACCCTCTTTCTTTGGAATCTGCAAGGGGATATGTGGACCTCTTTGAAGATTTCACTGGAAACGGGATCATCTTCACATAAAAACTAAACAGAAGCATTCTCGGAAACTACTTTGTGATGTTTGTATTCAACTCCCAGAGTTGAACTTTCCTTTGGAAAGAGCAGCTATGAAACACTCTTTTTCGAGAATCTGCAAGTGGACGTTTGGAGGGCTTTGAGGCCTGTGGTGGAAAAGGAAATATCTTCACACAAAAACCAGATAGAAGCATTCTCAGAAACTACTTTGTGAGGATGGCATTCAACTCATGGAGTTGAACAATCCTATTGATAGAGCAGATTGGAATCACTCTTTTTATAGAATCTGCAAATGGAGATTTGGACTGCTTTGAGGCCTACGGTAGTACAGGAAGGAACTTCATATAAAAGGCAAACGGAAGCATTCTCAGAATATTCTTTGTGATGATGGAGTTTCACTCACAGAGCTGAACATGCCTTTTGATGGAGCAGTTTCCAAATACACTTTTGGTAGAATCTGCAGGTGGATATTTGGAGCTCTCTGAGGATTTCGTTGGAAACGGGAATAATTTCCCATAACTAAACACAAACACTCTGAGAAAGTTCTTCATGATGAATGCTTTTAACCCGCAGAGATGAACCTGCCTTTGAGAGTTCAGGTTCGAAACACTCTTTCTGTATAATCTGCAAGTGGATATTTGGACCACTGGGTGGCCTTCGTTCGAAACGGGTATATGTTCACGTAAAAACTAAAGAGAAGCATTCTCAGAAACTTCTGAGTGATGATTGCATTCAAGTCACACGGTTGAACCCTCCTTTTGATGGAGCAGTTTTGAAACTGTCTTTTTGTAGAATCTGTAAGTGGATACGTGGACCTCTTTGAAGATTTCTTTGGAAACGGGAATATTTCCACAGAAAAACTAAACTGAAGCATTCTCAGAAACTGCTTTGTGATGTTTGTGTTCGAGCCACAGAGTTTAACATTGCTTTTCATAGAGCAGTTTTGAAATATTCTTTTCGCAGAATCTGCAAGTGGACATTTGGAGCGCTTTCAGGCCTGTGGTGGAAAAGGCCTGAAAGCCTTTTCTTTATCTTCACAGAAAGACGAGAGAGAAGCATTGTCAGAAACTTCTTTGTGATGATTGCATTCAACTCACAGAGTTGAAGATTCCTTTTGAAACAGCAGTTTCGAAACACTCTTTCTGTGGGATCCGCAAGGGGATATTTGGACCTCTTTGAAGGTTTCGTTGGAAACGGGATAATCTTCACCTAAAAGCTAAACGGAAGCATTCTCAGAAACTTCTTTGGGATGTTTGCATTCACTTCACAGAGTTGAACTTTCCCTTTGATAGCGCAGCTTTGACACACTTTTTCTTCAATGTGCAAGTGGCTATTTAGCGGGCTTGGAGGACTGTGTTGGAAAAGGAAATATCTTCTCCTAAAAACGACATAGAAGCATTCTCAGAAACTGCTCTGTGATGATTGCATTCAACTCCCAGAGTTGAACATTCCTTTTGATAGAGCAGTTTGCAAACACTCTTTTTGTAGAATCTGCAAGTGGAGATTTGGACCGCTTTGAGGCCTGTGGTAGTGAAGGAAAGAACTTCATATAAAAACCAGACGGTAGCACTCTCAGAAAATTCTTTGTGACGATGGAGTTTAACTCAGGGAGCTGAACATTCGTTATGATGGAGCAGTTTCCAAACACACGTTTTGTAGAATCTGCAAGGGGATATTTGGACCTCTCTGAGGATTTCGTTGGAAACGGGATCAACTTCCCATAACTGAACGGAAGCAAACTCAGAACATTCTTTGTGATGTTTGTATTCAACTCACAGAGTTGAACCTTCCTTTGATAGTTCAGGTTTGCAACACCCTTGTAGTAGAATCTGCAAGTGTATATTTTGACCTCTTTGTAGCCTTCGTTTGAAACGTCTATATCTTCACATCAAACCTAGACAGAAGCATTCTCAGAAAGTTTTCTGCGATGACTGCATTCAACTCACAGAGTTGAACAATCCTTCTGATGGAGCAGTTTTGAAACCCTCTTTCTTTGGAATCTGCAAGGGGATATGTGGACCTCTTTGAAGATTTCACTGGAAATGGGATCATCTTCACATAAAAACTAAACAGAAGCATTCTCGGAAACTACTTTGTGATGTTTGTATTCAACTCCCAGAGTTGAACTTTCCTTTTGAAAGAGCAGCTATGAAACACTCTTTTTCGAGAATCTGCAAGTGGACGTTTGGAGGGCTTTGAGGCCTGTGGTGGAAAAGGAAATATCTTCACATAAAACTAGATAGAAGCATTCTCAGAAACTACTTTGTGAGCATGGCATTCAACTCATGGAGTTCAACAATCCTATTGATAGAGCAGATTGGAATCACTCTTTTTGTAGAATCTGCAAATGGAGATTTGGACTGCTTTGAGGCCTACGGTAGTACAGGAAGGAACTTCATATAAAAGGCAAACGGAAGCATTCTCAGAATATTCTTTGTGATGATGGAGTTTCACTCACAGAGCTGAACATGCCTTTTGATGGAGCAGTTTCCAAATACACTTTTGGTAGAATCTGCAGGTGGATATTTGGAGCTCTCTGAGGATTTCGTTGGAAACGGGAATAATTTCCCATAACTAAACACAAACACTCTGAGAAAGTTCTTCATGATGAATGCATTTAACTCGCAGAGATGAACCTGCCTTTGAGAGTTCAGGTTCGAAACACTCTTTCTGTAGAATCTGCAAGTGGATATTTGGACCACTGGGTGGCCTTCGTTCGAAACGGGTATATGTTCACGTAAAAACTAAAGAGAAGCATTCTCAGAAACTTCTGAGTGATGATTGCATTCAAGTCACACAGTTGAACCCTCCTTTTGATGGAGCAGTTTTGAAACTGTCTTTTTGTAGAATCTGTAAGTGGATACGTGGACCTCTTTGAAGATTTCTTTGGAAACGGGAATATTTCCAAAGAAAAACTAAACTGAAGCATTCTCAGAAACTGCTTTGTGATGTTTGTGTTCGAGCCACAGAGTTTAACATTGCTTTTCATAGAGCAGTTTTGAAATATTCTTTTCACAGAATCTGCAAGTGGACATTTGGAGCGCTTTCAGGCCTGTGGTGGAAAAGGCCTGAAAGCCTTTTCCTTTATCTTCACAGAAAGACGAGAGAGAAGCATTGTCAGAAACTTCTTTGTGATGATTGCATTCAACTCACAGAGTTGAAGATTCCTTTTGAAACAGCAGTTTCGAAACACTCTTTCTGTGGGATCCGCAAGGGGATATTTGGACCTCTTTGAAGGTTTCGTTGGAAACGGGATAATCTTCACCTAAAAGCTAAACGGAAGCATTCTCAGAAACTTCTTTGGGATGTTTGCATTCACCTCACAGAGTTGAACTTTCCCTTTGATAGCGCAGCTTTGACACACTTTTTCTACAATGTGCAAGTGGCTATTTAGCGGGCTTGGAGGACTGTGTTGGAAAAGGAAATATCTTCTCCTAAAAACGACATAGAAGCATTCTCAGAAACTGCTCTGTGATGATTGCATTCAACTCCCAGAGTTGAACATTCCTTTTGATAGAGCAGTTTGCAAACACTCTTTTTGTAGAATCTGCAAGTGGAGATTTGGACCGCTTTGAGGCCTGTGGTAGTGAAGGAAAGAACTTCATATAAAAACCAGACGGTAGCACTCTCAGAAAATTCTTTGTGACGATGGAGTTTAACTCAGGGAGCTGAACATTCGTTATGATGGAGCAGTTTCCAAACACACGTTTTGTAGAATCTGCAAGGGGATATTTGGACCTCTCTGAGGATTTCGTTGGAAACGGGATCAACTTCCCATAACTGAACGGAAGCAAACTCAGAACATTCTTTGTGATGTTTGTATTCAACTCACAGAGTTGAACCTTCCTTTGATAGTTCAGGTTTGCAACACCCTTGTAGTAGAATCTGCAAGTGTATATTTTGACCACTTTGTAGCCTTCGTTTGAAACGTCTATATCTTCACATCAAACCTAGACAGAAGCATTCTCAGAAAGTTTTCTGCGATGACTGCATTCAACTCACAGAGTTGAACAATCCTTCTGATGGAGCAGTTTTGAAACCCTCTTTCTTTGGAATCTGCAAGGGGATATGTGGACCTCTTTGAAGATTTCACTGGAAACGGGATCATCTTCACATAAAAACTAAACAGAAGCATTCTCGGAAACTACTTTGTGATGTTTGTATTCAACTGCCAGAGTTGAACTTTCCTTTTGAAAGAGCAGCTATGAAACACTCTTTTTCGAGAATCTGCAAGTGGACGTTTGGAGGGCTTTGAGGCCTGTGGTGGAAAAGGAAATATCTTCACATAAAAACTAGATAGAAGCATTCTCAGAAACGACTTTGTGAGGATGGCATTCAACTCATGGAGTTGAACAATCCTATTGATAGAGCAGATTGGAATCACTCTTTTTGTAGAATCTGCAAATGGAGATTTGGACTGCTTTGAGGCCTACGGTCGTATAGGAAGGAACTTCATATAAAAGGCAAACGGAAGCATTCTCAGAATATTCTTTGTGATGATGGAGTTTCACTCACAGAGCTGAACATGCCTTTTGATGGAGCAGTTTCCAAATACACTTTTGGTAGAATCTGCAGGTGGATATTTGGAGCTCTCTGAGGATTTCGTTGGAAACGGGAATAATTTCCCATAACTAAACACAAACACTCTGAGAAAGTTCTTCATGATGAATGCATTTAACTCGCAGAGATGAACCTGTCTTTGAGAGTTCAGGTTCGAAACACTCTTTCTGTAGAATCTGCAAGTGGATATTTGGACCACTGGCTGGCCTTCGTTCGAAACGGGTATAAGTTCACGTAAAAACTAAAGAGAAGCATTCTCAGAAACTTCTGAGTGATGATTGCATTCAAGTCACACAGTTGAACCCTCCTTTTGATGGAGCAGTTTTGAAACTGTCTTTTTGTAGAATCTGTAAGTGGATACGTGGACCTCTTTGAAGATTTCTTTGGAAACGGGAATATTTCCACAGAAAAACTAAACTGAAGCATTCTCAGAAACCGCTTTGTGATGTTTGTGTTCGAGCCACAGAGTTTAACATTGCTTTTCATAGAGCAGTTTTGAAATATTCTTTTGGCAGAATCTGCAAGTGGACATTTGGAGCGCTTTCAGGCCTGTGGTGGAAAAGGCCTGAAAGCCTTTTCCTTTATCTTCACAGAAAGACGAGAGAGAAGCATTGTCAGAAACTTCTTTGTGATGATTGCATTCAACTCACAGAGTTGAAGATTCCTTTTGAAACAGCAGTTTCGAAACACTCTTTCTGTGGGATCCGCAAGGGGATATTTGGACCTCTTTGAAGGTTTCGTTGGAAACGGGATAATCTTCACCTAAAAGCTAAACGGAAGCATTCTCAGAAACTTCTTTGGGATGTTTGCATTCACCTCACAGAGTTGAACTTTCCCTTTGATAGCGCAGCTTTGACACACTTTTTCTACAATGTGCAAGTGGCTATTTAGCGGGCTTGGAGGACTGTGTTGGAAAAGGAAATATCTTCTCCTAAAAACGACATAGAAGCATTCTCAGAAACTGCTCTGTGATGATTGCATTCAACTCCCAGAGTTGAACATTCCTTTTGATAGAGCAGTTTGCAAACACTCTTTTTGTAGAATCTGCAAGTGGAGATTTGGACCGCTTTGAGGCCTGTGGTAGTGAAGGAAAGAACTTCATATAAAAACCAGACGGTAGCACTCTCAGAAAATTCTTTGTGACGATGGAGTTTAACTCAGGGAGCTGAACATTCGTTATGATGGAGCAGTTTCCAAACACACGTTTTGTAGAATCTGCAAGGGGATATTTGGACCTCTCTGAGGATTTCGTTGGAAACGGGATCAACTTCCCATAACTGAACGGAAGCAAACTCAGAACATTCTTTGTGATGTTTGTATTCAACTCACAGAGTTGAACCTTCCTTTGATAGTTCAGGTTTGCAACACCCTTGTAGTAGAATCTGCAAGTGTATATTTTGACCACTTTGTAGCCTTCGTTTGAAACGTCTATATCTTCACATCAAACCTAGACAGAAGCATTCTCAGAAAGTTTTCTGCGATGACTGCATTCAACTCACAGAGTTGAACAATCCTTTTGATGGAGCAGTTTTGAAACCCTCTTTCTTTGGAATCTGCAAGGGGATATGTGGACCTCTTTGAAGATTTCACTGGAAACGGGATCATCTTCACATAAAAACTAAACAGAAGCATTCTCGGAAACTATTTTGTGATGTTTGTATTCAACTCCCAGAGTTGAACTTTCCTTTTGAAAGAGCAGCTATGAAACACTCTTTTTCGAGAATCTGCAAGTGGACGTTTGGAGGGCTTTGAGGCCTGTGGTGGAAAAGGAAATATCTTCACACAAAAACCAGATAGAAGCATTCTCAGAAACTACTTTGTGAGGATGGCATTCAACTCATGGAGTTGAACAATCCTATTGATAGAGCAGATTGGAATCACTCTTTTTGTAGAATCTGCAAATGGAGATTTGGACTGCTTTGAGGCCTACAGTAGTACAGGAAGGAACTTCATATAAAAGGCAAACGGAAGCATTCTCAGAATATTCTTTGTGATGATGGAGTTTCACTCACAGAGCTGAACATGCCTTTTGATGGAGCAGTTTCCAAATACACTTTTGGTAGAATCTGCAGGTGGATATTTGGAGCTCTCTGAGGATTTCGTTGGAAACGGGAATAATTTCCCATAACTAAACACAAACACTCTGAGAAAGTTCTTCATGATGAATGCATTTAACTCGCAGAGATGAACCTGCCTTTGAGAGTTCAGGTTCGAAACACTCTTTCTGTAGAATCTGCAAGTGGATATTTGGACCACTGGGTGGCCTTCGTTCGAAACGGGTATATGTTCACGTAAAAACTAAAGAGAAGCATTCTCAGAAACTTCTGAGTGATGATTGCATTCAAGTCACACGGTTGAACCCTCCTTTTGATGGAGCAGTTTTGAAACTGTCTTTTTGTAGAATCTGTAAGTGGATACGTGGACCTCTTTGAAGATTTCTTTGGAAACGGGAATATTTCCACAGAAAAACTAAACTGAAGCATTCTCAGAAACCGCTTTGTGATGTTTGTGTTCGAGCCACAGAGTTTAACATTGCTTTTCATAGAGCAGTTTTGAAATATTCTTTTCGCAGAATCTGCAAGTGGACATTTGGAGCGCTTTCAGGCCTGTGGTGGAAAAGGCCTGAAAGCCTTTTCCTTTATCTTCACAGAAAGACGAGAGAGAAGCATTGTCAGAAACTTCTTTGTGATGATTGCATTCAACTCACAGAGTTGAAGATTCCTTTTGAAACAGCAGTTTCGAAACACTCTTTCTGTGGGATCCGCAAGGGGATATTTGGACCTCTTTGAAGGTTTCGTTGGAAACGGGATAATCTTCCCCTAAAAGCTAAACGGAAGCATTCTCAGAAACTTCTTTGGGATGTTTGCATTCACCTCACAGAGTTGAACTTTCCCTTTGATAGCGCAGCTTTGACACACTTTTTCTACAATGTGCAAGTGGCTATTTAGCGGGCTTGGAGGACTGTGTTGGAAAAGGAAATATCTTCTCCTAAAAACGACATAGAAGCATTCTCAGAAACTGCTCTGTGATGATTGCATTCAACTCCCAGAGTTGAACATTCCTTTTGATAGAGCAGTTTGCAAACACTCTTTTTGTAGAATCTGCAAGTGGAGATTTGGACCGCTTTGAGGCCTGTGGTAGTGAAGGAAAGAACTTCATATAAAAACCAGACGGTAGCACTCTCAGAAAATTCTTTGTGACGATGGAGTTTAACTCAGGGAGCTGAACATTCGTTATGATGGAGCAGTTTCCAAACACACGTTTTGTAGAATCTGCGAGGGGATATTTGGACCTCTCTGAGGATTTCGTTGGAAACGGGATCAACTTCCCATAACTGAACGGAAGCAAACTCAGAACATTCTTTGTGATGTTTGTATTCAATTCACAGAGTTGAACCTTCCTTTGATAGTTCAGGTTTGCAACACCCTTGTAGTAGAATCTGCAAGTGTATATTTTGACCACTTTGTAGCCTTCGTTTGAAACGTCTATATCTTCACATCAAACCTAGACAGAAGCATTCTCAGAAAGTTTTCTGTGATGACTGCATTCAACTCACAGAGTTGAACAATCCTTCTGATGGAGCAGTTTTGAAACCCTCTTTCTTTGGAATCTGCAAGGGGATATGTGGACCTCTTTGAAGATTTCACTGGAAACGGGATCATCTTCACATAAAAACTAAACAGAAGCATTCTCGGAAACTACTTTGTGATGTTTGTATTCAACTCCCAGAGTTGAACTTTCCTTTTGAAAGAGCAGCTATGAAACACTCTTTTTCGAGAATCTGCAAGTGGACGTTTGGAGGGCTTTGAGGCCTGTGGTGGAAAAGGAAATATCTTCACATAAAAACTAGATAGAAGCATTCTCAGAAACGACTTTGTGAGGATGGCATTCAACTCATGGAGTTGAACAATCCTATTGATAGAGCAGATTGGAATCACTCTTTTTGTAGAATCTGCAAATGGAGATTTGGACTGCTTTGAGGCCTACGGTCGTATAGGAAGGAACTTCATATAAAAGGCAAACGGAAGCATTCTCAGAATATTCTTTGTGATGATGGAGTTTCACTCACAGAGCTGAACATGCCTTTTGATGGAGCAGTTTCCAAATACACTTTTGGTAGAATCTGCAGGTGGATATTTGGAGCTTTCTGAGGATTTCGTTGGAAACGGGAATAATTTCCCATAACTAAACACAAACACTCTGAGAAAGTTCTTCATGATGAATGCATTTAACTCGCAGAGATGAACCTGCCTTTGAGAGTTCATGTTCGAAACACTCTTTCTGTAGAATCTGCAAGTGGATATTTGGACCACTGGCTGGCCTTCGTTCGAAACGGGTATATGTTCACGTAAAAACTAAAGAGAAGCATTCTCAGAAACTTCTGAGTGATGATTGCATTCAAGTCACACAGTTGAACCCTCCTTTTGATGGAGCAGTTTTGAAACTGTCTTTTTGTAGAATCTGTAAGTGGATACGTGGACCTCTTTGAAGATTTCTTTGGAAACGGGAATATTTCCACAGAAAAACTAAACTGAAGCATTCTCAGAAACCGCTTTGTGATGTTTGTGTTCGAGCCACAGAGTTTAACATTGCTTTTCATAGAGCAGTTTTGAAATATTCTTTTCGCAGAATCTGCAAGTGGACATTTGGAGCGCTTTCAGGCCTGTGGTGGAAAAGGCCTGAAAGCCTTTTCCTTTATCTTCACAGAAAGACGAGAGAGAAGCATTGTCAGAAACTTCTTTGTGATGATTGCATTCAACTCACAGAGTTGAAGATTCCTTTTGAAACAGCAGTTTCGAAACACTCTTTCTGTGGGATCCGCAAGGGGATATTTGGACCTCTTTGAAGGTTTCGTTGGAAACGGGATAATCCTCACCTAAAAGCTAAACGGGAAGCATTCTCAGAAACTTCTTTTGGATGTTTGCATTCACCTCAGAGAGTTGAATTTTCCCTTTGATAGCGCAGCTTCGACACACTTTTTCTACAATGTGCAAGTGGATATTTAGCGGGCTTGGAGGACTGTGTTGGAAAAGGAAATATCTTCTCCTAAAAACGACATAGAAGCATTCTCAGAAACTGCTCTGTGATGATTGCATTCAACTCCCAGAGTTGAACATTCCTTTTGATAGAGCAGTTTGCAAACACTCTTTTTGTAGAATCTGCAAGTGGAGATTTGGACCGCTTTGAGGCCTGTGGTAGTGAAGGAAAGAACTTCATATAAAAACCAGACGGTAGCACTCTCAGAAAATTCTTTGTGACGATGGAGTTTAACTCAGGGAGCTGAACATTCGTTATGATGGAGCAGTTTCCAAACACACGTTTTGTAGAATCTGCAAGGGGATATTTGGACCTCTCTGAGGATTTCGTTGGAAACGGGATCAACTTCCCATAACTGAACGGAAGCAAACTCAGAACATTCTTTGTGATGTTTGTATTCAACTCACAGAGTTGAACCTTCCTTTGATAGTTCAGGTTTGCAACACCCTTGTAGTAGAATCTGCAAGTGTATATTTTGACCACTTTGTAGCCTTCGTTTGAAACGTCTATATCTTCACATCAAACCTAGAAAGAAGCATTCTCAGAAAGTTTTCTGCGATGACTGCATTCAACTCACAGAGTTGAACAATCCTTCTGATGGAGCAGTTTTGAAACCCTCTTTCTTTGGAATCTGCAAGGGGATATGTGGACCTCTTTGAAGATTTCACTGGAAACGGGATCATCTTCACATAAAAACTAAACAGAAGCATTCTCGGAAACTACTTTGTGATGTTTGTATTCAACTCCCAGAGTTGAACTTTCCTTTTGAAAGAGCAGCTATGAAACACTCTTTTTCGAGAATCTGCAAGTGGACGTTTGGAAGGCTTTGAGGCCTGTGGTGGAAAAGGAAATATCTTCACATAAAAACTAGATAGAAGCATTCTCAGAAACTACTTTGTGAGGATGGCATTCAACTCATGGAGTTGAACAATCCTATTGATAGAGCAGATTGGAATCACTCTTTTTGTAGAATCTGCAAATGGAGATTTGGACTGCTTTGAGGCCTACGGTCGTATAGGAAGGAACTTCATATAAAAGGCAAACGGAAGCATTCTCAGAATATTCTTTGTGATGATGGAGTTTCACTCACAGAGCGGAACATGCCTTTTGATGGAGCAGTTTCCAAATACACTTTTGGTAGAATCTGCAGGTGGATATTTGGAGCTCTCTGAGGATTTCGTTGGAAACGGGAATAATTTCCCATAACTAAACACAAACACTCTGAGAAAGTTCTTCATGATGAATGCATTTAACTCGCAGAGATGAACCTGCCTTTGAGAGTTCATGTTCGAAACACTCTTTCTGTAGAATCTGCAAGTGGATATTTGGACCACTGGGTGGCCTTCGTTCGAAACGGGTATATGTTCACGTAAAAACTAAAGAGAAGCATTCTCAGAAACTTCTGAGTGATGATTGCATTCAAGTCACACAGTTGAACACTCCTTTTGATGGAGCAGTTTTGAAACTGTCTTTTTGTAGAATCTGTAAGTGGATACGTGGACCTCTTTGAAGATTTCTTTGGAAACGGGAATATTTCCACAGAAAAACTAAACTGAATCATTCTCAGAAACTGCTTTGTGATGTTTGTGTTCGAGCCACAGAGTTTAACATTGCTTTTCATAGAGCAGTTTTGAAATATTCTTTTCGCAGAATCTGCAAGTGGACATTTGGAGCGCTTTCAGGCCTGTGGTGGAAAAGGCCTGAAAGCCTTTTCCTTTATCTTCACAGAAAGACGAGAGAGAAGCATTGTCAGAAACTTCTTTGTGATGATTGCATTCAACTCACAGAGTTGAAGATTCCTTTTGAAACAGCAGTTTCGAAACACTCTTTCTGTGGGATCCGCAAGGGGATATTTGGACCTCTTTGAAGGTTTCGTTGGAAACGGGATAATCTTCACCTAAAAGCTAAACGGAAGCATTCTCAGAAACTTCTTTGGGATGTTTGCATTCACCTCACAGAGTTGAACTTTCCCTTTGATAGCGCAGCTTTGACACACTTTTTCTACAATGTGCAAGTGGCTATTTAGCGGGCTTGGAGGACTGTGTTGGAAAAGGAAATATCTTCTCCTAAAAACGACATAGAAGCATTCTCAGAAACTGCTCTGTGATGATTGCATTCAACTCCCAGAGTTGAACATTCCTTTTTATAGAGCAGTTTGCAAACACTCTTTTTGTAGAATCTGCAAGTGGAGATTTGGACCGCTTTGAGACCAGTGGTAGTGAAGGAAAGAACTTCATATAAAAACCAGACGGTAGCACTCTCAGAAAATTCTTTGTGACGATGGAGTTTAACTCAGGGAGCTGAACATTCGTTATGATGGAGCAGTTTCCAAACACACGTTTTGTAGAATCTGCAAGGGGATATTTGGACCTCTCTGAGGATTTCGTTGGAAACGGGATCAACTTCCCATAACTGAACGGAAGCAAACTCAGAACATTCTTTGTGATGTTTGTATTCAACTCACAGAGTTGAACCTTCCTTTGATAGTTCAGGTTTGCAACACCCTTGTAGTAGAATCTGCAAGTGTATATTTTGACCACTTTGTAGCCTTCGTTTGAAACGTCTATATCTTCACATCAAACCTAGAAAGAAGCATTCTCAGAAAGTTTTCTGCGATGACTGCATTCAACTCACAGAGTTGAACAATCCTTTTGATGGAGCAGTTTTGAAACCCTCTTTCTTTGGAATCTGCAAGGGGATATGTGGACCTCTTTGAAGATTTCACTGGAAACGGGATCATCTTCACATAAAAACTAAACAGAAGCATTCTCGGAAACTATTTTGTGATGTTTGTATTCAACTCCCAGAGTTGAACTTTCCTTTTGAAAGAGCAGCTATGAAACACTCTTTTTCGAGAATCTGCAAGTGGACGTTTGGAGGGCTTTGAGGCCTGTGGTGGAAAAGGAAATATCTTCACACAAAAACCAGATAGAAGCATTCTCAGAAACTACTTTGTGAGGATGGCATTCAACTCATGGAGTTGAACAATCCTATTGATAGAGCAGATTGGAATCACTCTTTTTGTAGAATCTGCAAATGGAGATTTGGACTGCTTTGAGGCCTACAGTAGTACAGGAAGGAACTTCATATAAAAGGCAAACGGAAGCATTCTCAGAATATTCTTTGTGATGATGGAGTTTCACTCACAGAGCTGAACATGCCTTTTGATGGAGCAGTTTCCAAATACACTTTTGGTAGAATCTGCAGGTGGATATTTGGAGCTGCTCTGAGGATTTCGTTGGAAACGGGAATAATTTCCCATAACTAAACACAACACTCTGAGAAAGTTCTTCATGATGAATGCATTTAACTCGCAGAGATGAACCTGCCTTTGAGAGTTCAGGTTCGAAACACTCTTTCTGTAGAATCTGCAAGTGGATATTTGGACCACTGGCTGGCCTTCGTTCGAAACGGGTATATGTTCACGTAAAAACTAAAGAGAAGCATTCTCAGAAACTTCTGAGTGATGATTGCATTCAAGTCACACAGTTGAACCCTCCTTTTGATGGAGCAGTTTTGAAACTGTCTTTTTGTAGAATCTGTAAGTGGATACGTGGACCTCTTTGAAGATTTCTTTGGAAACGGGAATATTTCCACAGAAAAACTAAACTGAAGCATTCTCAGAAACCGCTTTGTGATGTTTGTGTTCGAGCCACAGAGTTTAACATTGCTTTTCATAGAGCAGTTTTGAAATATTCTTTTGGCAGAATCTGCAAGTGGACATTTGGAGCGCTTTCAGGCCTGTGGTGGAAAAGGCCTGAAAGCCTTTTCCTTTATCTTCACAGAAAGACGAGAGAGAAGCATTGTCAGAAACTTCTTTGTGATGATTGCATTCAACTCACAGAGTTGAAGATTCCTTTTGAAACAGCAGTTTCGAAACACTCTTTCTGTGGGATCCGCAAGGGGATATTTGGACCTCTTTGAAGGTTTCGTTGGAAACGGGATAATCTTCACCTAAAAGCTAAACGGAAGCATTCTCAGAAACTTCTTTGGGATGTTTGCATTCACCTCACAGAGTTGAACTTTCCCTTTGATAGCGCAGCTTTGACACACTTTTTCTACAATGTGCAAGTGGCTATTTAGCGGGCTTGGAGGACTGTGTTGGAAAAGGAAATATCTTCTCCTAAAAACGACATAGAAGCATTCTCAGAAACTGCTCTGTGATGATTGCATTCAACTCCCAGAGTTGAACATTCCTTTTGATAGAGCAGTTTGCAAACACTCTTTTTGTAGAATCTGCAAGTGGAGATTTGGACCGCTTTGAGGCCTGTGGTAGTGAAGGAAAGAACTTCATATAAAAACCAGACGGTAGCACTCTCAGAAAATTCTTTGTGACGATGGAGTTTAACTCAGGGAGCTGAACATTCGTTATGATGGAGCAGTTTCCAAACACACGTTTTGTAGAATCTGCAAGGGGATATTTGGACCTCTCTGAGGATTTCGTTGGAAACGGGATCAACTTCCCATAACTGAACGGAAGCAAACTCAGAACATTCTTTGTTATGTTTGTATTCAACTCACAGAGTTGAACCTTCCTTTGATAGTTCAGGTTTGCAAAACCCTTGTAGTAGAATCTGCAAGTGTATATTTTGACCACTTTGTAGCCTTCGTTTGAAACGTCTATATCTTCACATCAAACCTAGACAGAAGCATTCTCAGAAAGTTTTCTGCGATGACTGCATTCAACTCACAGAGTTGAACAATCCTTTTGATGGAGCAGTTTTGAAACCCTCTTTCTTTGGAATCTGCAAGGGGATATGTGGACCTACTTTGAAGATTTCACTGGAAACGGGATCATCTTCACATAAGAACTAAACAGAAAGCATTCTCTGAAACTACTTTGTGATGTTTGTATTCAACTGCCAGAGTTGAACTTTCCTTTTGAAAGAGCAGCTATGAAACACTCTTTTTCGAGAATCTGCAAGTGGACGTTTGGAGGGCTTTGAGGCCTGTGGTGGAAAAGGAAATATCTTCACACAAAAACCAGATAGAAGCATTCTCAGAAACTACTTTGTGAGGATGGCATTCAACTCATGGAGTTGAACAATCCTATTGATAGAGCAGATTGGAATCACTCTTTTTATAGAATCTGCAAATGGAGATTTGGACTGCTTTGAGGCCTACGGTAGTACAGGAAGGAACTTCATATAAAAGGCAAACGGAAGCATTCTCAGAATATTCTTTGTGATGATGGAGTTTCACTCACAGAGCTGAACATGCCTTTTGATGGAGCAGTTTCCAAATACACTTTTGGTAGAATCTGCAGGTGGATATTTGGAGCTCTCTGAGGATTTCGTTGGAAACGGGAATAATTTCCCATAACTAAACACAAACACTCTGAGAAAGTTCTTCATGATGAATGCATTTAACTCACAGAGATGAACCTGCCTTTGAGAGTTCAGGTTCGAAACACTCTTTCTGTATAATCTGCAAGTGGATATTTGGACCACTGGGTGGCCTTCGTTCGAAACGGGTATATGTTCACCTAAAAACTAAAGAGAAGCATTCTCAGAAACTTCTGAGTGATGATTGCATTCAAGTCACACAGTTGAACCCTCCTTTTGATGGAGCAGTTTTGAAACTGTCTTTTTGTAGAATCTGTAAGTGGATACGTGGACGTCTTTGAAGATTTCTTTGGAAACGGGAATATTTCCACAGAAAAACTAAACTGAAGCATTCTCAGAAACTGCTTTGTGATGTTTGTGTTCGAGCCACAGAGTTTAACATTGCTTTTCATAGAGCAGTTTTGAAATATTCTTTTGGCAGAATCTGCAAGTGGACATTTGGAGCGCTTTCAGGCCTGTGGTGGCAAAGGCCTGAACGCCTTTTCCTTTATGTTCACAGAAAGACGAGAGAGAAGCATTGTCAGAAACTTCTTTGTGATGATTGCATTCAACTCACAGAGTTGAAGATTCCTTTTGAAACAGCAGTTTCGAAACACTCTTTCTGTGGGATCCGCAAGGGGATATTTGGACCTCTTTGAAGGTTTCGTTGGAAACGGGATAATCTTCACCTAAAAGCTAAACGGAAGCATTCTCAGAAACTTCTTTGGGATGTTTGCATTCACCTCACAGAGTTGAACTTTCCCTTTGATAGCGCAGCTTTGACACACTTTTTCTACAATGTGCAAGTGGCTATTTAGCGGGCTTGGAGGACTGTGTTGGAAAAGGAAATATCTTCTCCTAAAAACGACATAGAAGCATTCTCAGAAACTGCTCTGTGATGATTGCATTCAACTCCCAGAGTTGAACATTCCTTTTGATAGAGCAGTTTGCAAACACTCTTTTTGTAGAATCTGCAAGTGGAGATTTGGACCGCTTTGAGGCCTGTGGTAGTGAAGGAAAGAACTTCATATAAAAACCAGACGGTAGCACTCTCAGAAAATTCTTTGTGACGATGGAGTTTAACTCAGGGAGCTGAACATTCGTTATGATGGAGCAGTTTCCAAACACACGTTTTGTAGAATCTGCGAGGGGATATTTGGACCTCTCTGAGGATTTCGTTG
Source organism: Homo sapiens (assembly GCF_000001405.40). Lineage (NCBI taxonomy): Eukaryota > Metazoa > Chordata > Mammalia > Primates > Hominidae > Homo > Homo sapiens. The sequence goes on from NC_000023.11 coordinate 58,847,435, forward strand.
GAAACGGGATCAACTTCCCATAACTGAACGGAAGCAAACTCAGAACATTCTTTGTGATGTTTGTATTCAACTCACAGAGTTGAACCTTCCTTTGATAGTTCAGGTTTGCAACACCCTTGTAGTAGAATCTGCAAGTGTATATTTTGACCACTTTGTAGCCTTCGTTTGAAACATGCTATATCTTCACATCAAACCTAGACAGAAGCATTCTCAGAAAGTTTTCTGCGATGACTGCATTCAACTCACAGAGTTGAACAATCCTTCTGATGGAGCAGTTTTGAAACCCTCTTTCTTTGGAATCTGCAAGGGGATATGTGGACCTCTTTGAAGATTTCACTGGAAACGGGATCATCTTCACATAAAAACTAAACAGGAAGCATTCTCGGAAACTACTTTGTGATGTTTGCATTCAACTGCCAGAGTTGAACATTCCTTTTGAAAGAGCAGCTATGAAACACTCTTTTTGGAGAATCTACAAGTGGACGTTTGGAGGGCTTTGAGGCCTGTGGTGGAAAAGGAAATATCTTCACATAAAAACTAGATAGAAGCATTCTCAGAAATTAATTTGTGACGATGGCATTCAACTCACGGAGTTGAACAATCCTATTGATAGAGCAGATTGGAAACACTCTTTTTGTAGAATCTGCAAATGGAGATTTGGACTGCTTTGAGGCCTACGGTAGTATAGGAAGGAAATTCATAAAAAAGCAAACGGAAGCATTCTCAGAATATTCTTTGTGATGATGGAGTTTAACTAACAGAGCTGAACGTGTCTTTTGATGGAGCAGTTTCCAAATACACTTTTGGTAGAATCTGCAAGGGGATATTTGGACCTCTCTAAGGATTTCGTTGGAAACGGGAGAAATTTCCCATATCTAAACACAAACAGTCTGAGAAAGTTCTTCATGATGAATGTATTTAACTCACAGAGATGAACCTTCCTTTGAGATTTCAGGTTTGAAACACTCTTTCTGTAGAATCTGCAAGTGGATATTTGGACCACTGTGTGGCCTTCGTTCGAAATGGGTATATGTTCACGTAAAAACTAAAGAGAAGCATTCTCAGAAACTTCTGCGTGATGATTGCATTCAAGTCACACGGTTGAACCCTCCTTTTGATGGAGCAGTTTTGAAACTGTCTTTTTGTAGAATCTGTAAGTGGATACGTGGACCTCTTTGAAGATTTCTTTGGAAACGGGAATATTTCCACAGAAAAACTAAACTGAAGCATTCTCAGAAACTGCTTTGTGATGTTTGTGTTCGAGCCGCAGAGTTTAACATTGCTTTTCATAGAGCAGTTTTGAAATATTCTTTTGGCAGAATCTGCAAGTGGACATTTGGAGCGCTTTCAGGCCTGTGGTGGAAAAGGCCTGAAAGCCTTTTCCTTTATCTTCACAGAAAGACGAGAGAGAAGCATTGTCAGAAACTTCTTTGTGATGATTGCATTCAACTCACAGAGTTGAAGATTCCTTCTGAAACAGCAGTTTCGAAACACTCTTTCTGTGGGATCCGCAAGGGGATATTTGGACCTCTTTGAAGATTTCGTTGGAAACGGGATAATCTTCACCTAAAAGCTAAACGGAAGCATTCTCAGAAACTTCTTTGGGATGTTTGCATTCACCTCACAGAGTTGAACTTTCCCTTTGATAGCGCAGCTTCGACACACTTTTTCTACAATGTGCAAGTGGATATTTAGCGGGCTTGGAGGACTGTGTTGGAAAAGGAAATATCTTCTCCTAAAAACGACATAGAAGCATTCTCAGAAACTGCTCTGTGATGATTGCATTCAACTCCCAGAGTTGAACATTCCTTTTGATAGAGCAGTTTGCAAACACTCTTTTTGTAGAATCTGCAAGTGGAGATTTGGACCGCTTTGAGGCCTGTGGTAGTAAAGGAAACAACTTCATATAAAAACCAGACGGTAGCACTCTCAGAAAATTCTTTGTGACGATGGAGTTTAACTCAGAGAGCTGAACATTCGTTATGATGGAGCAGTTTCCAAACACACGTTTTGTAGAATCTGCAAGGGGATATTTGGACCTCTCTGAGGATTTCGTTGGAAACGGGATCAACTTCCCATAACTGAATGGAAGCAAACTCAGAACATTCTTTGTGATGTTTGTATTCAACTCACAGAGTTGAACCTTCCTTTGATAGTTCAGGTTTGCAACACCCTTGTAGTAGAATCTGCAAGTGTATATTTTGACCACTTTGTAGCCTTCGTTTGAAACGTCTATATCTTCACCTCAAACCTAGACAGAAGCATTCTCAGAAAGTTTTCTGCGATGACTGCATTCAACTCACAGAGTTGAACAATCCTTTTGATGGAGCAGTTTTGAAACCCTCTTTCTTTGGAATCTGCAAGGGGATATGTGGACCTCTTTGAAGATTTCACTGGAAACGGGATCATCTGCACATAAGAACTAAACAGAAGCATTCTCGGAAACTACTTTGTGATGTTTGTATTCAGCTCCCAGAGTTGAACTTTCCTTTTGAAAGAGCAGCTATGAAACACTCTTTTTCGAGAATCTGCAAGTGGACGTTTGGAGGGCTTTGGGGCCTGTGGTGGAAAAGGAAATATCTTCACATAAAAACTAGATAGAAGCATTCTCAGAAACTACTTTGTGAGGATGGCATTCAACTCATGGAGTTGAACAGTCCTATTGATAGAGCAGATTGGAATCACTCTTTTTGTAGAATCTGCAAATGGAGATTTGGACTGCTTTGAGGCCTACGGTAGTATAGGAAGGAACTTCATATAAAAGGCAAACGGAAGCATTCTCAGAATATTCTTTGTGATGATGGAGTTTCACTCACAGAGCTGAACATGCCTTTTGATGGAGCAGTTTCCAAATACACTTTTGGTAGAATCTGCAGGTGGATATTTGGAGCTCTCTGAGGATTTCGTTGGAAACGGGAATAATTTCCCATAAATAAACACAAACACGCTGAGAAAGTTCTTCATGATGAATGCATTTAACTCGCAGAGATGAACCTGCCTTTGAGAGTTCAGGTTCGAAACACTCTTTCTGTAGAATCTGCAAGTGGATATTTGGACCACTGGCTGGCCTTCGTTCGAAACGGGTATATGTTCACGTAAAAACTAAAGAGAAGCGTTCTCAGAAACTTCTGAGTGATGATTGCATTCAAGTCACACAGTTGAACCCTCCTTTTGATTGAGCAGTTTTGAAACTGTCTTTTTGTAGAATCTGTAAGTGGATGCGTGGACCTCTTTGAAGATTTCTTTGGAAACAGGAATATTTCCACAGAAAAACTAAACTGAAGCATTCTCTGAAACTGCTTTGTGATGTTTGTGTTCGAGCCGCAGAGTTTAACATTGCTTTTCATAGAGCAGTTTTGAAATATTCTTTTGGCAGAATCTGCAAGTGGACATTTGGAGCGCTTTCAGGCCTGTGGTGGAAAAGGCCTGAAAGCCTTTTCCTTTATCTTCACAGAAAGACGAGAGAGAAGCATTGTCAGAAACTTCTTTGTGATGATTGCATTCAACTCACAGAGTTGAAGATTCCTTTTGAAACAGCAGTTTCGAAACACTCTTTCTGTGGGATCCGCAAGGGGATATTTGGACTTCTTTGAAGATTTCGTTGGAAACGGGATAATCTTCACCTAAAAGCTAAACGGAAGCATTCTCAGAAACTTCTTTGGGATGTTTGCATTCACCTCACAGAGTTGAACTTTCCCTTTGATAGCGCAGCTTCGACACACTTTTTCTACAATGTGCAAGTGGATATTTAGCGGGCTTGGAGGACTGTGTTGGAAAAGGAAATATCTTCTCCTAAAAACGACATAGAAGCATTCTCAGAAACTGCTCTGTGATGATTGCATTCAACTCCCAGAGTTGAACATTCCTTTTGATAGAGCAGTTTGCAAACACTCTTTTTGTAGAATCTGCAAGTGGAGATTTGGACCGCTTTGAGGCCGGTGGTAGTAAAGGAAAGAACTTCATATAAAACTAGACGGTAGCACTCTCAGAAAATTCTTTGTGACGATGGAGTTTAACTCAGAGAGCTGAACATTCGTTATGATGGAGCAGTTTCCAAACACACGTTTTGTAGAATCTGCAAGGGGATATTTGGACCTCTCTGAGGATTTCGTTGGAAACGGGATCAACTTCCCATAACTGAACGGAAGCAAACTCAGAACATTCTTTGTGATGTTTGTATTCAACTCACAGAGTTGAACCTTCCTTTGATAGTTCAGGTTTGCATCACCCTTGTAGTAGAATCTGCAAGTGTATATTTTGACCACTTTGTAGCCTTCGTTTGAAACGTCTATATCTTCCCATCTAACCTAGACAGAAGCATTCTCAGAAAGTTTTCTGCGATGACTGCATTCAACTCACAGAGTTGAACAATCCTTTTGATGGAGCAGTTTTGAAACCCTCTTTCTTTGGAATCTGCAAGGGGATATGTGGACCTCTTTGAAGATTTCACTGGAAACGGGATCATCTTCACATAAGAACTAAACAGAAGCATTCTCGGAAACTACTTTGTGATGTTTGTATTCAGCTCCCAGAGTTGAACTTTCCTTTTGAAAGAGCAGCTATGAAACACTCTTTTTCGAGAATCTGCAAGTGGACGTTTGGAGGGCTTTGAGGCCTGTGGTGGAAAAGGAAATATCTTCACATAAAAACTAGATAGAAACATTCTCAGAAACTACTTTGTGAGGATGGCATTCAACTCATGGAGTTGAACAGTCCTATTGATAGAGCAGATTGGAATCACTATTTTTGTAGAATCTGCAAATGGAGATTTGGACTGCTTTGAGGCCTACGGTAGTATAGGAAGGAACTTCATATAAAAGGCAAATGGAAGCATTCTCAGAATATTCTTTGTGATGATGGAGTTTCACTCACAGAGCTGAACATTCCTTTTGATGGAGCAGTTTCCAAATACACTTTTGGTAGAATCTACAGGTGGATATTTGGACCTCTCTGAGGATTTCGTTGGAAACGGGAATAATTTCCAATAACTAAACACAAACACGCTGAGAAAGTTCTTCATGATGAATGCATTTAACTCGCAGAGATGAACCTGCCTTTGAGAGTTCAGGTTCGAAACACTCTTTCTGTAGAGTCTGCAAGTGGATATTTGGACCACTGGGTGGCCTTCGTTCGAAACGGGTATATGTTCACGTAAAAACTAAAGAGAAGCATTCTCAGAAACTTCTGAGTGATGATTGCATTCAAGTCACACAGTTAAACCCTCCTTTTGATTGAGCAGTTTTGAAACTGTCTTTTTGTAGAATCTGTAAGTGGATGCGTGGACCTCTTTGAAGATTTCTTTGGAAACGGGAATATTTCCACAGAAAAACTAAACTGAAGCATTCTCAGAAACTGCTTTGTGATGTTTGTGTTCGAGCCACAGAGTTTAACACTGCTTTTCATAGAGCAGTTTTGAAATATTCTTTTGGCAGAATCTGCAAGTGGACATTTGGAGCGCTTTCAGGCCTGTGGTGGAAAAGGCCTGAAAGCCTTTTCCTTTATCTTCACAGAAAGACGAGAGAGAAGCATTGTCAGAAACTTCTTTGTGATGATTGCATTCAACTCACAGAGTTGAAGATTCCTTTTGAAACAGCAGTTTCGAAACACTCTTTCTGTGGGATCCGCAAGGGGATATTTGGACCTCTTTGAAGGTTTCGTTGGAAACGGGATAATCTTCACCTAAAAGCTAAACGGAAGCATTCTCAGAAACTTCTTTGGGATGTTTGCATTCACCTCACAGAGTTGAACTTTCCCTTTGATAGCGCAGCTTTGACACACTTTTTCTACAATGTGCAAGTGGCTATTTAGCGGGCTTGGAGGACTGTGTTGGAAAAGGAAATATCTTCTCCTAAAAACGACATAGAAGCATTCTCAGAAACTGCTCTGTGATGATTGCATTCAACTCCCAGAGTTGAACATTCCTTTTGATAGAGCAGTTTGCAAACACTCTTTTTGTAGAATCTGCAAGTGGAGATTTGGACCGCTTTGAGGCCTGTGGTAGTGAAGGAAAGAACTTCATATAAAAACCAGACGGTAGCACTCTCAGAAAATTCTTTGTGACGATGGAGTTTAACTCAGGGAGCTGAACATTCGTTATGATGGAGCAGTTTCCAAACACACGTTTTGTAGAATCTGCGAGGGGATATTTGGACCTCTCTGAGGATTTCGTTGGAAACGGGATCAACTTCCCATAACTGAACGGAAGCAAACTCAGAACATTCTTTGTGATGTTTGTATTCAATTCACAGAGTTGAACCTTCCTTTGATAGTTCAGGTTTGCAACACCCTTGTAGTAGAATCTGCAAGTGTATATTTTGACCACTTTGTAGCCTTCGTTTGAAACGTCTATATCTTCACATCAAACCTAGACAGAAGCATTCTCAGAAAGTTTTCTGCGATGACTGCATTCAACTCACAGAGTTGAACAATCCTTCTGATGGAGCAGTTTTTAAACCCTCTTTCTTTGGAATCTGCAAGGGGATATGTGGACCTCTTTGAAGATTTCACTGGAAACGGGATCATCTTCACATAAAAACTAAACAGAAGCATTCTCGGAAACTATTTTGTGATGTTTGTATTCAACTCCCAGAGTTGAACTTTCCTTTTGAAAGAGCAGCTATGAAACACTCTTTTTCGAGAATCTGCAAGTGGACGTTTGGAGGGCTTTGAGGCCTGTGGTGGAAAAGGAAATATCTTCACATAAAAACTAGATAGAAGCATTCTCAGAAACGACTTTGTGAGGATGGCATTCAACTCATGGAGTTGAACAATCCTATTGATAGAGCAGATTGGAATCACTCTTTTTGTAGAATCTGCAAATGGAGATTTGGACTGCTTTGAGGCCTACGGTAGTATAGGAAGGAACTTCATATAAAAGGCAAACGGAAGCATTCTCAGAATATTCTTTGCGATGATGGAGTTTCACTCACAGAGCTGAACATGCCTTTTGATGGAGCAGTTTCCAAATACACTTTTGGTAGAATCTGCAGGTGGATATTTGGACCTCTCTGAGGATTTAGTTGGAAACGGGAATAATTTCCCATAACTAAACACAAACACGCTGAGAAAGTTCTTCATGATGAATGCATTTAACTCGCAGAGATGAACCTGCCTTTGAGAGTTCAGGTTCGAAACACTCTTTCTGTAGAATCTGCAAGTGGATATTTGGACCACTGGCTGGCCTTCGTTCGAAACGGGTATATGTTCACGTAAAAACTAAAGAGAAGCGTTCTCAGAAACTTCTGAGTGATGATTGCATTCAAGTCACACAGTTGAACCCTTCTTTTGATTGAGCAGTTTTGAAACTGTCTTTTTGTAGAATCTGTAAGTGGATGCGTGGACCTCTTTGAAGATTTCTTTGGAAACGGGAATATTTCCACAGAAAAAGTAAACTGAAGCATTCTCAGAAACTGCTTTGTGATGTTTTTGTTCGAGCCACAGAGTTTAACATTGCTTTTCATAGAGCAGTTTTGAAATATTCTTTTGGCAGAATCTGCAAGTGGACATTTGGAGCGCTTTCAGGCCTGTGGTGGAAAAGGCCTGAAAGCCTTTTCCTTTATCTTCACAGAAAGACGAGAGAGAAGCATTGTCAGAAACTTCTTTGTGATGATTGCATTCAACTCACAGAGTTGAAGATTCCTTTTGAAACAGCAGTTTCGAAACACTCTTTCTGTGGGATCCGCAAGGGGATATTTGGACCTCTTTGAAGATTTCGTTGGAAACGGGATAATCTTCACCTAAAAGCTAAACGGAAGCATTCTCAGAAACTTCTTTGGGATGTTTGCATTCACCTCACAGAGTTGAACTTTCCCTTTGATAGCGCAGCTTCGACACACTTTTTCTACAATGTGCAAGTGGATATTTAGCGGGCTTGGAGGACTGTGTTGGAAAAGGAAATATCTTCTCCTAAAAACGACATAGAAGCATTCTCAGAAACTGCTCTGTGATGATTGCATTCAACTCCCAGAGTTGAACATTCCTTTTGATAGAGCAGTTTGCAAACACTCTTTTTGTAGAATCTGCAAGTGGAGATTTGGACCGCTTTGAGGCCTGTGGTAGTAAAGGAAAGAACTTCATATAAAAACCAGACGGTAGCACTCTCAGAAAATTCTTTGTGACGATGGAGTTTAACTCAGAGAGCTGAACATTCGTTATGATGGAGCAGTTTCCAAACACACGTTTTGTAGAATCTGCAAGGGGATATTTGGACCTCTCTGAGGATTTCGTTGGAAACCCGATCAACTTCCCATAACTGAACAGAAGCAAACTGAGAACATTCTTTGTGATGTTTGTATTCAACTCACAGAGTTGAACCTTCCTTTGATAGTTGAGGTTTGCAACACCCTTGTAGTAGAATCTGCAAGTGTATATTTTGACCACTTTGTAGCCTTCGTTTGAAACGTCTATATCTTCACCTCAAACCTAGACAGAAGCATTCTCAGAAAGTTTTCTGCGATGACTGCATTCAACTCACAGAGTTGAACAATCCTTTTGATGGAGCAGTTTTGAAACCCTCTTTCTTTGGAATCTGCAAGGGGATATGTGGACCTCTTTGAAGATTTCACTGGAAACGGGATCATCTTCACATAAGAACTAAACAGAAGCATTCTCGGAAACTACTTTGTGATGTTTGTATTCAACTCCCAGAGTTGAACTTTCCTTTTGAAAGAGCAGCTATGAAACACTCTTTTTCGAGAATCTGCAAGTGGACGTTTGGAGGGCTTTGAGGCCTGTGGTGGAAAAGGAAATATCTTCACATAAAAACTAGATAGAAGCATTCTCAGAAACGACTTTGTGAGGATGGCATTCAACTCATGGAGTTGAACAATCCTATTGATAGAGCAGATTGGAATCACTCTTTTTGTAGAATCTGCAAATGGAGATTTGGACTGCTTTGAGGCCTACGGTAGTATAGGAAGGAACTTCATATAAAAGGCAAACGGAAGCATTCTCAGAATATTCTTTGTGATGACGGAGTTTCACTCACAGAGCTGAACATGCCTTTTCATGGAGCAGTTTCCAAATACACTTTTGGTAGAATCTGCAGGTGGATATTTGGAGCTCTCTGAGGATTTCGTTGGAAACGGGAATAATTTCCCATAACTAAACACAAACACGCTGAGAAAGTTCTTCATGATGAATGCATTTAACTCGCAGAGATGAACCTGCCTTTGAGAGTTCAGGTTCAAAACACTCTTTCTGTAGAATCTGCAAGTGGATATTTGGACCACTGGCTGGCCTTCGTTCGAAACGGGTATATGTTCACGTAAAAACTAAAGAGAAGCGTTCTCAGAAACTTCTGAGTGATGAATGCATTCAAGTCACACAGTTGAACCCTCCTTTTGATTGAGCAGTTTTGAAACTGTCTTTTTGTAGAATCTGTAAGTGGATGTGTGGACCTCTTTGAAGATTTCTTTGGAAACGGGAATATTTCCACAGAAAAACTAAACTGAAGCATTCTCAGAAACTGCTTTGTGATGTTTGTGTTCGAGCCGCAGAGTTTAACATTGCTTTTCATAGAGCAGTTTTGAAATATTCTTTTGGCAGAATCTGCAAGTGGACATTTGGAGCGCTTTCAGGCCTGTGGTGGAAATGGCCTGAAAGCCTTTTCCTTTATCTTCACAGAAAGACGAGAGAGAAGCATTGTCAGAAACTTCTTTGTGATGATTGCATTCAACTCACAGAGTTGAAGATTCCTTTTGAAACAGCAGTTTCGAAACACTCTTTCTGTGGGATCCGCAAGGGGATATTTGGACCTCTTTGAAGATTTCGTTGGAAACGGGATAATCTTCACTTAAAGCAAAACGGAAGCATTCTCAGAAACTTCTTTGGGATGTTTGCATTCACCTCACAGAGTTGAACTTTCCCTTTGATAGCGCAGCTTCGACACACTTTTTCTACAATGTGCAAGTGGATATTTAGCGGGCTTGGAGGACTGTGTTGGAAAAGGAAATATCTTCTCCTAAAAACGACATAGAAGCATTCTCAGAAACTGCTCTGTGATGATTGCATTCAACTCCCAGAGTTGAACATTCCTTTTGATAGAGCAGTTTGCAAACACTCTTTTTGTAGAATCTGCAAGTGGAGATTTGGACCGCTTTGAGGCCTGTGGTAGTAAAGGAAAGAACTTCATATAAAAACTAGACGGTAGCACTCTCAGAAAATTCTTTGTGACGATGGAGTTTAACTCAGAGAGCTGAACATTCGTTATGATGGAGCAGTTTCCAAACACACGTTTTGTAGAATCTGCAAGGGGATATTTGGACCTCTCTGAGGATTTCGTTGGAAACGGTATCAATTTCCCATAACTAAACGGAAGCAAACTCAGAACATTTTTTGTGATGGTTGCATTCATCTCACAGAGTTGAACCTTCCTTTGATAGTTGAGGTTTGCATCACCCTTGTAGTAGAATCTGCAAGTGTATATTTTGACCACTTTGTAGCCTTCGTTTGAAACGTCTATATCTTCACATCAAACCTAGACAGAAGCATTCTCAGAAAGTTTTCTGCGATGACTGCATTCAACTCACAGAGTTGAACAATCCTTTTGATGGAGCAGTTTTGAAACCCTCTTTCTTTGGAATCTGCAAGGGGATATGTGGACCTCTTTGAAGATTTCACTGGAAACGGGATCATCTTCACATAAGAACTAAACAGAAGCATTCTCGGAAACTACTTTGTGATGTTTGTATTCAACTCCCAGAGTTGAACTTTCCTTTTGAAAGAGCAGGTATGAAACACTCTTTTTCGAGAATCTGCAAGTGGACGTTTGGAGGGCTTTGAGGCCTGTGGTGGAAAAGGAAATATCTTCACATAAAAACTAGATAGAAGCATTCTCAGAAACGACTTTGTGAGGATGGCATTCAACTCATGGAGTTGAACAGTCCTATTGATAGAGCAGATTGGAATCACTCTTTTTGTAGAATCTGCAAATGGAGATTTGGACTGCTTTGAGGCCTACGGTAGTATAGGAAGGAACTTCATATAAAAGGCAAACGGAGGCATTCTCAGAATATTCTTTGTGATGATGGAGTTTCACACACAGAGCTGAACATGCCTTTTGATGGAGCAGTTTCCAAATACACTTTTCGTAGAATCTGCAGGTGGATATTTGAACCTCTCTGAGGATTTCGTTGGAAACGGGAATAATTTCCCATAACTAAACACAAACACGCTGAGAAAGTTCTTCATGATGAATGCATTTAACTCGCAGAGATGAACCTGCCTTTGAGAGTTCAGGTTCGAAACACTCTTTCTGTAGAATCTGCAAGTGGATATTTGGACCACTGGGTGGCCTTCGTTCGAAACGGGTATATGTTCACGTAAAAACTAAAGAGAAGCATTCTCAGAAACTTCTGAGTGATGATTGCATTCAAGTCACACAGTTGAACCCTCCTTTTGATGGAGCAGTTTTGAAACTGTCTTTTTGTAGAATCTGTAAGTGGATACGTGGACCTCTTTGAAGATTTCTTTGGAAACGGGAATATTTCCACAGAAAAACTAAACTGAAGCATTCTCAGAAACCGCTTTGTGATGTTTGTGTTCGAGCCGCAGAGTTTAACATTGCTTTTCATAGAGCAGTTTTGAAATATTCTTTTGGCAGAATCTGCAAGTGGACATTTGGACCGCTTTCAGGCCTGTGGTGGCAAAGGCCTGAAAGCCTTTTCCTTTATCTTCACAGAAAGACGAGAGAGAAGCATTGTCAGAAACTTCTTTGTGATGATTGCATTCAACTCACAGAGTTGAAGATTCCTTTTGAAACAGCAGTTTCGAAACACTCTTTCTGTGGGATCCGCAAGGGGATATTTGGACCTCTTTGAAGGTTTGGTTGGAAACGGGATAATCTTCACCTAAAAGCTAAACGGAAGCATTCTCAGAAACTTCTTTGGGATGTTTGCATTCACCTCACAGAGTTGAACTTTCCCTTTGATAGCGCAGCTTTGACACACTTTTTCTACAATGTGCAAGTGGCTATTTAGCGGGCTTGGAGGACTGTGTTGGAAAAGGAAATATCTTCTCCTAAAAACGACATAGAAGCATTCTCAGAAACTGCTCTGTGATGATTGCATTCAACTCCCAGAGTTGAACATTCCTTTTGATAGAGCAGTTTGCAAACACTCTTTTTGTAGAATCTGCAAGTGGAGATTTGGACCGCTTTGAGGCCTGTGGTAGTGAAGGAAAGAACTTCATATAAAAACCAGACGGTAGCACTCTCAGAAAATTCTTTGTGACGATGGAGTTTAACTCAGGGAGCTGAACATTCGTTATGATGGAGCAGTTTCCAAACACACGTTTTGTAGAATCTGCAAGGGGATATTTGGACCTCTCTGAGGATTTCGTTGGAAACGGGATCAACTTCCCATAACTGAACGGAAGCAAACTCAGAACATTCTTTGTGATGTTTGTATTCAACTCACAGAGTTGAACCTTCCTTTGATAGTTCAGGTTTGCAACACCCTTGTAGTAGAATCTGCAAGTGTATATTTTGACCACTTTGTAGCCTTCGTTTGAAACGTCTATATCTTCACATCAAACCTAGACAGAAGCATTCTCAGAAAGTTTTCTGCGATGACTGCATTCAACTCACAGAGTTGAACAATCCTTCTGATGGAGCAGTTTTGAAACCCTCTTTCTTTGCAATATGCAAGGGGATATGTGGACCTCTTTGAAGATTTCACTGGAAACGGGATCATCTTCACATAAAAACTAAACAGAAGCATTCTCGGAAACTACTTTGTGATGTTTGTATTCAACTCCCAGAGTTGAACTTTCCTTTTGAAAGAGCAGCTATGAAACACTCTTTTTCGAGAATCTGCAAGTGGACGTTTGGAGGGCTTTGAGGCCTGTGGTGGAAAAGGAAATATCTTCACATAAAAACTAGATAGAAGCATTCTCAGAAACTACTTTGTGAGGATGGCATTCAACTCATGGAGTTGAACAATCCTATTGATAGAGCAGATTGGAATCACTCTTTTTGTAGAATCTGCAAATGGAGATTTGGACTGCTTTGAGGCCTACGGTCGTATAGGAAGGAACTTCATATAAAAGGCAAACGGAAGCATTCTCAGAATATTCTTTGTGATGATGGAGTTTCACTCACAGAGCTGAACATGCCTTTTGATGGAGCAGTTTCCAAATACACTTTTGGTAGAATCTGCAGGTGGATATTTGGAGCTCTCTGAGGATTTCGTTGGAAACGGGAATAATTTCCCATAACTAAACACAAACACTCTGAGAAAGTTCTTCATGATGAATGCATTTAACTCGCAGAGATGAACCTGCCTTTGAGAGTTCAGGTTCGAAACACTCTTTCTGTAGAATCTGCAAGTGGATATTTGGACCACTGGCTGGCCTTCGTTCGAAACGGGTATATGTTCACGTAAAAACTAAAGAGAAGCATTCTCAGAAACTTCTGAGTGATGATTGCATTCAAGTCACACAGTTGAACCCTCCTTTTGATGGAGCAGTTTTGAAACTGTCTTTTTGTAGAATCTGTAAGTGGATACGTGGACCTCTTTGAAGATTTCTTTGGAAACGGGAATATTTCCACAGAAAAACTAAACTGAAGCATTCTCAGAAACCGCTTTGTGATGTTTGTGTTCGAGCCACAGAGTTTAACATTGCTTTTCATAGAGCAGTTTTGAAATATTCTTTTCGCAGAATCTGCAAGTGGACATTTGGAGCGCTTTCAGGCCTGTGGTGGAAAAGGCCTGAAAGCCTTTTCCTTTATCTTCACAGAAAGACGAGAGAGAAGCATTGTCAGAAACTTCTTTGTGATGATTGCATTCAACTCACAGAGTTGAAGATTCCTTTTGAAACAGCAGTTTCGAAACACTCTTTCTGTGGGATCCGCAAGGGGATATTTGGACCTCTTTGAAGGTTTCGTTGGAAACGGGATAATCTTCACCTAAAAGCTAAACGGAAGCATTCTCAGAAACTTCTTTGGGATGTTTGCATTCACCTCACAGAGTTGAACTTTCCCTTTGATAGCGCAGCTTCGACACACTTTTTCTACAATGTGCAAGTGGCTATTTAGCGGGCTTGGAGGACTGTGTTGGAAAAGGAAATATCTTCTCCTAAAAACGACATAGAAGCATTCTCAGAAACTGCTCTGTGATGATTGCATTCAACTCCCAGAGTTGAACATTCCTTTTGATAGAGCAGTTTGCAAACACTCTTTTTGTAGAATCTGCAAGTGGAGATTTGGACCGCTTTGAGGCCTGTGGTAGTGAAGGAAAGAGCTTCATATAAAAACCAGACGGTAGCACTCTCAGAAAATTCTTTGTGACGATGGAGTTTAACTCAGGGAGCTGAACATTCGTTATGATGGAGCAGTTTCCAAACACACGTTTTGTAGAATCTGCAAGGGGATATTTGGACCTCTCTGAGGATTTCGTTGGAAACGGGATCAACATCCCATAACTGAACAGAAGCAAACTCAGAACATTCTTTGTGATGTTTGTATTCAACTCACAGAGTTGAACCTTCCTTTGATAGTTCAGGTTTGCAACACCCTTGTAGTAGAATCTGCAAGTGTATATTTTGACCACTTTGTAGCCTTCGTTTGAAACGTCTATATCTTCACATCAAACCTAGACAGAAGCATTCTCAGAAAGTTTTCTGCGATGACTGCATTCAACTCACAGAGTTGAACAATCCTTCTGATGGAGCAGTTTTGAAACCCTCTTTCTTTGGAATCTGCAAGGGGATATGTGGACCTCTTTGAAGATTTCACTGGAAACGGGATCATCTTCACATAAAAACTAAACAGAAGCATTCTCGGAAACTACTTTGTGATGTTTGTATTCAACTCCCAGAGTTGAACTTTCCTTTTGAAAGAGCAGCTATGAAACACTCTTTTTCGAGAATCTGCAAGTGGACGTTTGGAGGGCTTTGAGGCCTGTGGTGGAAAAGGAAATATCTTCACATAAAAACTAGATAGAAGCATTCTCAGAAACTACTTTGTGAGGATGGCATTCAACTCATGGAGTTGAACAATCCTATTGATAGAGCAGATTGGAATCACTCTTTTTGTAGAATCTGCAAATGGAGATTTGGACTGCTTTGAGGCCTACGGTAGTACAGGAAGGAACTTCATATAAAAGGCAAACGGAAGCATTCTCAGAATATTCTTTGTGATGATGGAGTTTCACTCACAGAGCTGAACATGCCTTTTGATGGAGCAGTTTCCAACTACACTTTTGGTAGAAACTGCAGGTGGATATTTGGAGCTCTCTGAGGATTTCGTTGGAAACGGGAATAATTTCCCATAACTAAACACAAACACTCTGAGAAAGTTCTTCATGATGAATGCATTTAACTCGCAGAGATGAACCTGCCTTTGAGAGTTCAGGTTCGAAACACTCTTTCTGTAGAATCTGCAAGTGGATATTTGGACCACTGGGTGGCCTTCGTTCAAAACGGGTATATGTTCACGTAAAAACTAAAGAGAAGCATTCTCAGAAACTTCTGAGTGATGATTGCATTCAAGTCACACAGTTGAACCCTCCTTTTGATGGAGCAGTTTTGAAACTGTCTTTTTGTAGAATCTGTAAGTGGATACGTGGACCTCTTTGAAGATTTCTTTGGAAACGGGAATATTTCCACAGAAAAACTAAACTGAAGCATTCTCAGAAACTGCTTTGTGATGTTTGTGTTCGAGCCACAGAGTTTAACATTGCTTTTCATAGAGCAGTTTTGAAATATTCTTTTGGCAGAATCTGCAAGTGGACATTTGGAGCGCTTTCAGGCCTGTGGTGGAAAAGGCCTGAAAGCCTTTTCCTTTATCTTCACAGGAAGACGAGAGAGAAGCATTGTCAGAAACTTCTTTGTGATGATTGCATTCAACTCACAGAGTTGAAGATTCCTTTTGAAACAGCAGTTTCGAAACACTCTTTCTGTGGGATCCGCAAGGGGATATTTGGACCTCTTTGAAGGTTTCGTTGGAAACGGGATAATCTTCACCTAAAAGCTAAACGGAAGCATTCTCAGAAACTTCTTTGGGATGTTTGCATTCACCTCACAGAGTTGAACTTTCCCTTTGATAGCGCAGCTTTGACACACTTTTTCTACAATGTGCAAGTGGCTATTTAGCGGGCTTGGAGGACTGTGTTGGAAAAGGAAATATCTTCTCCTAAAAACGACATAGAAGCATTCTCAGAAACTGCTCTGTGATGATTGCATTCAACTCCCAGAGTTGAACATTCCTTTTTATAGAGCAGTTTGCAAACACTCTTTTTGTAGAATCTGCAAGTGGAGATTTGGACCGCTTTGAGACCAGTGGTAGTGAAGGAAAGAACTTCATATAAAAACCAGACGGTAGCACTCTCAGAAAATTCTTTGTGACGATGGAGTTTAACTCAGGGAGCTGAACATTCGTTATGATGGAGCAGTTTCCAAACACACGTTTTGTAGAATCTGCAAGGGGATATTTGGACCTCTCTGAGGATTTCGTTGGAAACGGGATCAACTTCCCATAACTGAACGGAAGCAAACTCAGAACATTCTTTGTGATGTTTGTATTCAACTCACAGAGTTGAACCTTCCTTTGATAGTTCAGGTTTGCAACACCCTTGTAGTAGAATCTGCAAGTGTATATTTTGACCACTTTGTAGCCTTCATTTGAAACGTCTATATCTTCACATCAAACCTAGACAGAAGCATTCTCAGAAAGTTTTCTGCGATGACTGCATTCAACTCACAGAGTTGAACAATCCTTCTGATGGAGCAGTTTTGAAACCCTCTTTCTTTGGAATCTGCAAGGGGATATGTGGACCTCTTTGAAGATTTCACTGGAAACGGGATCATCTTCACATAAAAACTAAACAGAAGCATTCTCGGAAACTACTTTGTGATGTTTGTATTCAACTCCCAGAGTTGAACTTTCCTTTTGAAAGAGCAGCTATGAAACACTCTTTTTCGAGAATCTGCAAGTGGACGTTTGGAGGGCTTGGAGGCCTGTGGTGGAAAAGGAAATATCTTCACATAAAAACTAGATAGAAGCATTCTCAGAAACTGCTTTGTGAGGATGGCATTCAACTCATGGAGTTGAACAATCCTATTGATAGAGCAGATTGGAATCACTCTTTTTGTAGAATCTGCAAATGGAGATTTGGACTGCTTTGAGGCCTACGGTCGTATAGGAAGGAACTTCATATAAAAGGCAAACGGAAGCATTCTCAGAATATTCTTTGTGATGATGGAGTTTCACTCACAGAGCTGAACATGCCTTTTGATGGAGCAGTTTCCAAATACACTTTTGGTAGAATCTGCAGGTGGATATTTGGAGCTCTCTGAGGATTTCGTTGGAAACGGGAATAATTTCCCATAACTAAACACAAACACTCTGAGAAAGTTCTTCATGATGAATGCATTTAACTCGCAGAGATGAACCTGCCTTTGAGAGTTCAGGTTCGAAACACTCTTTCTGTAGAATCTGCAAGTGGATATTTGGACCACTGGGTGGCCTTCGTTCGAAACGGGTATATGTTCACGTAAAAACTAAAGAGAAGCATTCTCAGAAACTTGTGAGTGATGATTGCATTCAAGTCACACAGTTGAACCCTCCTTTTGATGGAGCAGTTTTGAAACTGTCTTTTTGTAGAATCTGTAAGTGGATACGTGGACCTCTTTGAAGATTTCTTTGGAAACGGGAATATTTCCACAGAAAAACTAAACTGAAGCATTCTCAGAAACCGCTTTGTGATGTTTGTGTTCGAGCCGCAGAGTTTAACATTGCTTTTCATAGAGCAGTTTTGAAATATTCTTTTGGCAGAATCTGCAAGTGGACATTTGGAGCGCTTTCAGGCCTGTGGTGGAAAAGGCCTGAAAGCCTTTTCCTTTATCTTCACAGAAAGACGAGAGAGAAGCATTGTCAGAAACTTCTTTGTGATGATTGCATTCAACTCACAGAGTTGAAGATTCCTTTTGAAACAGCAGTTTCGAAACTCTCTTTCTGTGGGATCCGCAAGGGGATATTTGGACCTCTTTGAAGGTTTCGTTGGAAACGGGATAATCTTCACCTAAAAGCTAAACGGAAGCATTCTCAGAAACTTCTTTGGGATGTTTGCATTCACCTCACAGAGTTGAACTTTCCCTTTGATAGCGCAGCTTTGACACACGTTTTCTACAATGTGCAAGTGGCTATTTAGCGGGCTTGGAGGACTGTGTTGGAAAAGGAAATATCTTCTCCTAAAAACGACATAGAAGCATTCTCAGAAACTGCTCTGTGATGATTGCATTCAACTCCCAGAGTTGAACATTCCTTTTGATAGAGCAGTTTGCAAACACTCTTTTTGTAGAATCTGCAAGTGGAGATTTGGACCGCTTTGAGGCCTGTGGTAGTGAAGGAAAGAACTTCATATAAAAACCAGACGGTAGCACTCTCAGAAAATTCTTTGTGACGATGGAGTTTAACTCGGGGAGCTGAACATTCGTTATGATGGAGCAGTTTCCAAACACACGTTTTGTAGAATCTGCAAGGGGATATTTGGACCTCTCTGAGGATTTCGTTGGAAACGGGATCAACTTCCCATAACTGAACGGAAGCAAACTCAGAACATTCTTTGTGATGTTTGTATTCAACTCACAGAGTTGAACCTTCCTTTGATAGTTCAGGTTTGCAACACCCTTGTAGTAGAATCTGCAAGTGTATATTTTGACCACTTTGTAGCCTTCGTTTGAAACGTCTATATCTTCACATCAAACCTAGACAGAAGCATTCTCAGAAAGTTTTCTGCGATGACTGCATTCAACTCACAGAGTTGAACAATCCTTCTGATGGAGCAGTTTTGAAACCCTCTTTCTTTGGAATCTGCAAGGGGATATGTGGACCTCTTTGAAGATTTCACTGGAAACGGGATCATCTTCACATAAAAACTAAACAGAAGCATTCTCGGAAACTATTTTGTGATGTTTGTATTCAACTCCCAGAGTTGAACTTTCCTTTTGAAAGAGCAGCTATGAAACACTCTTTTTCGAGAATCTGCAAGTGGACGTTTGGAGGGCTTTGAGGCCTGTGGTGGAAAAGGAAATATCTTCACACAAAAACCAGATAGAAGCATTCTCAGAAACTACTTTGTGAGGATGGCATTCAACTCATGGAGTTGAACAATCCTATTGATAGAGCAGATTGGAATCACTCTTTTTGTAGAATCTGCAAATGGAGATTTGGACTGCTTTGAGGCCTACGGTAGTACAGGAAGGAAGTTCATATAAAAGGCAAACGGAAGCATTCTCAGAATATTCTTTGTGATGATGGAGTTTCACTGACAGAGCTGAACATGCCTTTTGATGGAGCAGTTTCCAAATACACTTTTGGTAGAATCTGCAGGTGGATATTTGGAGCTCTCTGAGGATTTCGTTGGAAACGGGAATAATTTCCCATAACTAAACACAAACACTCTGAGAAAGTTCTTCATGATGAATGCATTCAACTCGCAGAGATGAACCTGCCTTTGAGAGTTCACGTTCGAAACACTCTTTCTGTAGAATCTGCAAGTGGATATTTGGACCACTGGCTGGCCTTCGTTCGAAACGGGTATATGTTCACGTAAAAACTAAAGAGAAGCATTCTCAGAAACTTCTGAGTGATGATTGCATTCAAGTCACACGGTTGAACCCTCCTTTTGATGGAGCAGTTTTGAAACTGTCTTTTTGTAGAATCTGTAAGTGGATACGTGGACCTCTTTGAAGATTTCTTTGGAAACGGGAATATTTCCACAGAAAAACTAAACTGAAGCATTCTCAGAAACCGCTTTGTGATGTTTGTGTTCCAGCCACAGAGTTTAACATTGCTTTTCATAGAGCAGTTTTGAAATATTCTTTTCGCAGAATCTGCAAGTGGACATTTGGAGCGCTTTCAGGCCTGTGGTGGCAAAGGCCTGAAAGCCTTTTCCTTTATCTTCACAGAAAGACGAGAGAGAAGCATTGTCAGAAACTTCTTTGTGATGATTGCATTCAACTCACAGAGTTGAAGATTCCTTTTGAAACAACAGTTTCGAAACACTCTTTCTGTGGGATCCGCAAGGGGATATTTGGACCTCTTTGAAGGTTTCGTTGGAAACGGGATAATCTTCACCTAAAAGCTAAACGGAAGCATTCTCAGAAACTTCTTTGGGATGTTTGCATTCACCTCACAGAGTTGAACTTTCCCTTTGATAGCGCAGCTTTGACACACTTTTTCTACAATGTGCAAGTGGCTATTTAGCGGGCTTGGAGGACTGTGTTGGAAAAGGAAATATCTTCTAAAAACGACATAGAAGCATTCTCAGAAACTGCTCTGTGATGATTGCATTCAACTCCCAGAGTTGAACATTCCTTTTGATAGAGCAGTTTGCAAACACTCTTTTTGTAGAATCTGCAAGTGGAGATTTGGACCGCTTTGAGGCCTGTGGTAGTGAAGGAAAGAACTTCATATAAAAACCAGACGGTAGCACTCTCAGAAAATTCTTTGTGACGATGGAGTTTAACTCAGGGAGCTGAACATTCGTTATGATGGAGCAGTTTCCAAACACACGTTTTGTAGAATCTGCGAGGGGATATTTGGACCTCTCTGAGGATTTCGTTGGAAACGGGATCAACTTCCCATAACTGAACGGAAGCAAACTCAGAACATTCTTTGTGATGTTTGTATTCAACTCACAGAGTTGAACCTTCCTTTGATAGTTCAGGTTTGCAACACCCTTGTAGTAGAATCTGCAAGTGTATATTTTGACCACTTTGTAGCCTTCGTTTGAAACGTCTATATCTTCACATCAAACCTAGACAGAAGCATTCTCAGAAAGTTTTCTGCGATGACTGCATTCAACTCACAGAGTTGAACAATCCTTCTGATGGAGCAGTTTTGAAACCCTCTTTCTTTGGAATCTGCAAGGGGATATGTGGACCTCTTTGATGATTTCACTGGAAACGGGGTCATCTTCACATAAAAACTAAACAGAAGCATTCTCGGAAACTATTTTGTGATGTTTGTATTCAACTCCCAGAGTTGAACTTTCCTTTTGAAAGAGCAGCTATGAAACACTCTTTTTCGAGAATCTGCAAGTGGACGTTTGGAGGGCTTTGAGGCCTGTGGTGGAAAAGGAAATATCTTCACACAAAAACCAGATAGAAGCATTCTCAGAAACTACTTTGTGAGGATGGCATTCAACTCATGGAGTTGAACAATCCTATTGATAGAGCAGATTGGAATCACTCTTTTTGTAGAATCTGCAAATGGAGATTTGGACTGCTTTGAGGACTACGGTAGTACAGGAAGGAACTTCATATAAAAGGCAAACGGAAGCATTCTCAGAATATTCTTTGTGATGATGGAGTTTCACTCACAGAGCTGAACATGCCTTTTGATGGAGCAGTTTCCAAATACACTTTTGGTAGAATCTGCAGGTGGATATTTGGAGCTCTCTGAGGATTTCGTTGGAAACGGGAATAATTTCCCATAACTAAACACAAACACTCTGAGAAAGTTCTTCATGATGAATGCATTCAACTCGCAGAGATGAACCTGCCTTTGAGAGTTCAGGTTCGAAACACTCTTTCTGTAGAATCTGCAAGTGGATATTTGGACCACTGGCTGGCCTTCGTTCGAAACGGGTATATGTTCACGTAAAAACTAAAGAGAAGCATTCTCAGAAACTTCTGAGTGATGATTGCATTCAAGTCACACAGTTGAACCCTCCTTTTGATGGAGCAGTTTTGAAACTGTCTTTTTGTAGAATCTGTAAGTGGATACGTGGACCTCTTTGAAGATTTCTTTGGAAACGGGAATATTTCCACAGAAAAACTAAACTGAAACATTCTCAAAAACCGCTTTGTGATGTTTGTGTTCGAGCCACAGAGTTTAACATTGCTTTTCATAGAGCAGTTTTGAAATATTCTTTTCGCAGAATCTGCAAGTGGACATTTGGAGTGCTTTCAGGCCTGTGGTGGCAAAGGCCTGAAAGCCTTTTCCTTTATCTTCACAGAAAGACGAGAGAGAAGCATTGTCAGAAACTTCTTTGTGATGATTGCATTCAACTCACAGAGTTGAAGATTCCTTTTGAAACAGCAGTTTCGAAACACTCTTTCTGTGGGATCCGCAAGGGGATATTTGGACCTCTTTGAAGGTTTCGTTGGAAACGGGATAATCTTCTCCTAAAAGCTAAACGGAAGCATTCTCAGAAAACTTCTTTGGGATGTTTGCATTCACCTCACAGAGTTGAACTTTCCCTTTGATAGCGCAGCTTCGACACACTTTTTCTACAATGTGCAAGTGGATATTTAGCGGGCTTGGAGGACTGTGTTGGAAAAGGAAATATCTTCTCCTAAAAACGACATAGAAGCATTCTCAGAAACTGCTCTGTGATGATTGCATTCAACTCCCAGAGTTGAACACTCCTTTTGATAGAGCAGTTTGCAAACACTCTTTTTGTAGAATCTGCAAGTGGAGATTTGGACCGCTTTGAGGCCTGTGGTAGTAAAGGAAAGAACTTCATATAAAAACTAGACGGTAGCACTCTCAGAAAATTCTTTGTGACGATGGAGTTTAACTCAGGGAGCTGAACATTCGTTATGATGGAGCAGTTTCCAAACACACGTTTTGTAGAATCTGCAAGGGGATATTTGGACCTCTCTGAGGATTTCGTTGGAAACGGGATCAACTTCCCATAACTGAACGGAAGCAAACTCAGAACATTCTTTGTGATGTTTGTATTCAACTGACGGAGTTGAACCTTCCTTTGATAGTTCAGGTTTGCAACACCCTTGTAGTAGAATCTGCAAGTGTATATTTTGACCACTTTGTAGCCTTCGTTTGAAACGTCTATATCTTCACATCAAACCTAGACAGAAGCATTCTCAGAAAGTTTTCTGCGATGACTGCATTCAACTCACAGAGTTGAACAATCCTTCTGATGGAGCAGTTTTGAAACCCTCTTTCTTTGGAATCTGCAAGGGGATATGTGGACCTCTTTGAAGATTTCACTGGAAACGGGATCATCTTCACATAAAAACTAAACAGAAGCATTCTCGGAAACTACTTTGTGATGTTTGTATTCAACTCCCAGAGTTGAACTTTCCTTTTGAAAGAGCAGCTATGAAACACTCTTTTTCGAGAATCTGCAAGTGGCCGTTTGGAGGGCTTTGAGGCCTGTGGTGGAAAAGGAAATATCTTCACATAAAAACTAGATAGAAGCATTCTTAGAAACGACTTTGTGAGGATGGCATTCAACTCATGGAGTTGAACAATCCTATTGATAGAGCAGATTGGAATCACTCTTTTTGTAGAATCTGCAAATGGAGATTTGGACTGCTTTGAGGCCTACGGTCGTATAGGAAGGAACTTCATATAAAAGGCAAACGGAAGCATTCTCAGAATATTCTTTGTGATGATGGAGTTTCACTCACAGTAGCTGAACATTCCTGTTGATGGAGCAGTTTCCAAATACACTTTTGGTAGAATCTGCAGGTGGATATTTGGAGCTCTCTGAGGATTTCCTTGGAAACGGGAATAATTTCCCATAACTAAACACAAACACTCTGAGAAAGTTCTTCATGATGAATGCATTTAACTCGCAGAGATGAACCTGCCTTTGAGAGTTCAGGTTCGAAACACTCTTTCTGTATAATCTGCAAGTGGATATTTGGACCACTGGGTGGCCTTCGTTCGAAACGGGTATATGTTCACGTAAAAACTAAAGAGAAGCATTCTCAGAAACTTCTGAGTGATGATTGCATTCAAGTCACACGGTTGAACCCTCCTTTTGATGGAGCAGTTTTGAAACTGTCTTTTTGTAGAATCTGTAAGTGGATATGGTGGACCTCTTTGAAGATTTCTTTGGAAACGGGAATATTTCCACAGAAAAACTAAACTGAAGCATTCTCAGAAACCGCTTTGTGATGTTTGTGTTCGAGCCACAGAGTTTAACATTGCTTTTCATAGAGCAGTTTTGAAATATTCTTTTGGCAGAATCTGCAAGTGGACATTTGGACCGCTTTCAGGCCTGTGGTGGCAAAGGCCTGAAAGCCTTTTCCTTTATCTTCACAGAAAGACGAGAGAGAAGCATTGTCAGAAACTTCTTTGTGATGATTGCATTCAACTCACAGAGTTGAAGATTCCTTTTGAAACAGCAGTTTCGAAACACTCTTTCTGTGGGATCCGCAAGGGGATATTTGGACCTCTTTGAAGGTTTCGTTGGAAACGGGATAATCTTCACCTAAAAGCTAAACGGAAGCATTCTCAGAAACTTCTTTGGGATGTTTGCATTCACCTCACAGAGTTGAACTTTCCCTTTGATAGCGCAGCTTTGACACACTTTTTCTACAATGTGCAAGTGGCTATTTAGCGGGCTTGGAGGACTGTGTTGGAAAAGGAAGTATCTTCTCCTAAAAACGACATAGAAGCATTCTCAGAAACTGCTCTGTGATGATTGCATTCAACTCCCAGAGTTGAACATTCCTTTTGATAGAGCAGTTTGCAAACACTCTTTTTGTAGAATCTGCAAGTGGAGATTTGGACCGCTTTGAGGCCAGTGGTAGTGAAGGAAAGAACTTCATATAAAAACCAGACGGTAGCACTCTCAGAAAATTCTTTGTGACGATGGAGTTTAACTCAGGGAGCTGAACATTCGTTATGATGGAGCAGTTTCCAAACACACGTTTTGTAGAATCTGCAAGGGGATATTTGGACCTCTCTGAGGATTTCGTTGGAAACGGGATCAACTTCCCATAACTGAACGGAAGCAAACTCAGAACATTCTTTGTGATGTTTGTATTCAACTCACAGAGTTGAACCTTCCTTTGATAGTTCAGGTTTGCAACACCCTTGTAGTAGAATCTGCAAGTGTATATTTTGACCACTTTGTAGCCTTCATTTGAAACGTCTATATCTTCACATCAAACCTAGACAGAAGCATTCTCAGAAAGTTTTCTGCGATGACTGCATTCAACTCACAGAGTTGAACAATCCTTCTGATGGAGCAGTTTTGAAACCCTCTTTCTTTGGAATCTGCAAGGGGATATGTGGACCTCTTTGAAGATTTCACTGGAAACGGGATCATCTTCACATAAAAACTAAACAGAAGCATTCTCGGAAACTACTTTGTGATGTTTGTATTCAACTCCCAGAGTTGAACTTTCCTTTTGAAAGAGCAGCTATGAAACACTCTTTTTCGAGAATCTGCAAGTGGACGTTTGGAGGGCTTGGAGGCCTGTGGTGGAAAAGGAAATACCTTCACATAAAAACTAGATAGAAGCATTCTCAGAAACTACTTTGTGAGGATGGCATTCAACTCATGGAGTTGAACAATCCTATTGATAGAGCAGATTGGAATCACTCTTTTTGTAGAATCTGCAAATGGAGATTTGGACTGCTTTGAGGCCTACGGTCGTATAGGAAGGAACTTCAGATAAAAGGCAAACGGAAGCATTCTCAGAATATTCTTTGTGATGATGGAGTTTCACTCACAGAGCTGAACATGCCTGTTGATGGAGCAGTTTCCAAATACACTTTTGGTAGAATCTGCAGGTGGATATTTGGAGCTCTCTGAGGATTTCGTTGGAAACGGGAATAATTTCCCATAACTAAACACAAACACTCTGAGAAAGTTCTTCATGATGAATGCATTTAACTCGCAGAGATGAACCTGCCTTTGAGAGTTCAGGTTCGAAACACTCTTTCTGTATAATCTGCAAGTGGATATTTGGACCACTGGGTGGCCTTCGTTCGAAACGGGTATATGTTCACGTAAAAACTAAAGAGAAGCATTCTCAGAAACTTCTGAGTGATGATTGCATTCAAGTCACACAGTTGAACCCTCCTTTTGATGGAGCAGTTTTGAAACTGTCTTTTTGTAGAATCTGTAAGTGGATACGTGGACCTCTGAAGATTTCTTTGGAAACGGGAATATTTCCACAGAAAAACTAAACTGAAGCATTCTCAGAAACTGCTTTGTGATGTTTGTGTTCGAGCCACAGAGTTTAACATTGCTTTTCATAGAGCAGTTTTGAAATATTCTTTTCGCAGAATCTGCAAGTGGACATTTGGAGCGCTTTCAGGCCTGTGGTGGAAAAGGCCTGAAAGCCTTTTCTTTATCTTCACAGAAAGACGAGAGAGAAGCATTGTCAGAAACTTCTTTGTGATGATTGCATTCAACTCACAGAGTTGAAGATTCCTTTTGAAACAGCAGTTTCGAAACACTCTTTCTGTGGGATCCGCAAGGGGATATTTGGACCTCTTTGAAGGTTTCGTTGGAAACGGGATAATCTTCACCTAAAAGCTAAACGGAAGCATTCTCAGAAACTTCTTTAGGATGTTTGCATTCACCTCACAGAGTTGAACTTTCCCTTTGATAGCGCAGCTTTGACACACTTTTTCTACAATGTGCAAGTGGCTATTTAGCGGGCTTGGAGGACTGTGTTGGAAAAGGAAATATCTTCTCCTAAAAACGACATAGAAGCATTCTCAGAAACTACTCTGTGATGATTGCATTCAACTCCCAGAGTTGAACATTCCTTTTGATAGAGCAGTTTGCAAACACTCTTTTTGTAGAATCTGCAAGTGGAGATTTGGACCGCCTTGAGGCCTGTGGTAGTAAAGGAAAGAACTTCATATAAAAACTAGACGGTAGCACTCTCAGAAAATTCTTTGTGACGATGGAGTTTAACTCAGAGAGCTGAACATTCGTTATGATGGAGCAGTTTCCAAACACACGTTTTGTAGAATCTGCAAGGGGATATTTGGACCTCTCTGAGGATTTCGTTGGAAACGGGATCAACTTCCCATAACTGAACGGTAGCAAACTCAGAACATTCTTTGTGATGTTTGTATTCAACTCACAGAGTTGAACCTTCCTTTGATAGTTCAGGTTTGCATCACCCTTGTAGTAGAATCTGCAAGTGTATATGTTGACCACTTTGTAGCCTTCGTTTGAAACGTCTATATCTTCACATCAAACCTAGACAGAAGCATTCTCAGAAAGTTTTCTGCGATGACTGCATTCAACTCACAGAGTTGAACAATCCTTTTGATGGAGCAGTTTTGAAACCCTCTTTCTTTGGAATCTGCAAGGGGATATGTGGACCTCTTTGAAGATTTCACTGGAAACGGGATCATCTTCACATAAGAACTAAACAGAAGCATTCTCGGAAACTACTTTGTGATGTTTGTATTCAACTCCCAGAGTTGAACTTTCCTTTTGAAAGAGCAGCTATGAAACACTCTTTTTCGAGAATCTGCAAGCGGACGTTTGGAGGGCTTTGAGGCCTCTGGTGGAAAAGGAAATATCTTCACATAAAAACTAGATAGAAGCATTCTCAGAAACGACTTTGTGAGGATGGCATTCAATTCATGGAGTTGAACAATCCTATTGATAGAGCAGATTGGAATCACTCTTTTTGTAGAATCTGCAAATGGAGATTTGGACTGCTTTGAGGCCTACGGTAGTATAGGAAGGAACTTCATATAAAAGGCAAACGGAAGCATTCTCAGAATATTCTTTGTGATGATGGAGTTTCACTCACAGAGCTGAACATGCCTTTTGATGGAGCAGTTTCCAAATACACTTTTGGTAGAATGTGCAGGTGCATATTTGGAGCTCTCTGAGGAGTTCGTTGGAAACGGGAATAATTTCCCATAACTAAACACAAACACTCTGAGAAAGTTCTTCATGATGAATGCATTTAACTCGCAGAGATGAACCTGCCTTTGAGAGTTCAGGTTCGAAACACTCTTTCTGTAGAATCTGCAAGTGGATATTTGGACCACTGGGTGGCCTTCGTTCGAAACGGGTATATGTTCACGTAAAAACTAAAGAGAAGCATTCTCAGAAACTTCTGAGTGATGATTGCATTCAAGTCACACAGTTGAACCCGCTTTTTGATTGAGCAGTTTTGAAACTGTCTTTTTGTAGAATCTGTAAGTGGATAAGTGGACCACTTGGAAGATTTCTTTGGAAACGGGAATATTTCCACAGAAAAACTAAACTGAAGCATTCTCAGAAACTGCTTTGTGATGTTGGTGTTCGAGCCGCAGAGTTTAACATTGCTTTTCATAGAGCAGTTTTGAAATATTCTTTTGGCAGAATCTGCAAGTGGACATTTGGAGCGCTTTCAGGCCTGTGGTGGAAAAGGCCTGAAAGCCTTTTCCTTTATCTTCACAGAAAGACGAGGGAGAAGCATTGTCAGAAACTTCTTTGTGATGATTGCATTCAACTCACAGCAGTTGAAGATTCCTTTTGAAACAGCAGTTTCGAAACACTCTTTCTGTGGGATCCGCAAGGGGATATTTGGACCTCTTTGAAGGTTTCGTTGGAAACGGGATAATCTTCACCTAAAAGCTAAACGGAAGCATTCTCAGAAACTTCTTTGGGATGTTTGCATTCACCTCACAGAGTTGAACTTTCCCTTTGATAGCGCAGCTTTGACACACTTTTTCTACAATGTGCAAGTGGCTATTTAGCGGGCTTGGAGGACTGTGTTGGAAAAGGAAATATCTTCTCCTAAAAACGACATAGAAGCATTCTCAGAAACTGCTCTGTGATGATTGCATTCAACTCCCAGTGTTGAACATTCCTTTTGATAGAGCAGTTTGCAAACACTCTTTTTGTAGAATCTGCAAGTGGAGATTTGGACCGCTTTGAGGCCTGTGGTAGTGAAGGAAAGAACTTCATATAAAAACCAGACGGTAGCACTCTCAGAAAATTCTTTGTGACGATGGAGTTTAACTCAGGGAGCTGAACATTCGTTATGATGGAGCAGTTTCCAAACACACGTTTTGTAGAATCTGCGAGGGGATATTTGGACCTCTCTGAGGATTTCGTTGGAAACGGGATCAACTTCCCATAACTGAACGGAAGCAAACTCAGAACATTCTTTGTGATGTTTGTATTCAACTCACAGAGTTGAACCTTCCTTTGATAGTTCAGGTTTGCAACACCCTTGTAGTAGAATCTGCAAGTGTATATTTTGACCACTTTGTAGCCTTCATTTGAAACGTCTATATCTTCACATCAAACCTAGACAGAAGCATTCTCAGAAAGTTTTCTGCGATGACTGCATTCAACTCACAGAGTTGAACAATCCTTCTGATGGAGCAGTTTTGAAACCCTCTTTCTTTGGAATCTGCAAGGGGATATGTGGACCTCTTTGAAGATTTCACTGGAAACGGGATCATCTTCACATAAAAACTAAACAGAAGCATTCTCGGAAACTACTTTGTGATGTTTGTATTCAACTCCCAGAGTTGAACTTTCCTTTTGAAAGAGCAGCTATGAAACACTCTTTTTCGAGAATCTGCAAGTGGACGTTTGGAGGGCTTGGAGGCCTGTGGTGGAAAAGGAAATACCTAAACATAAAAACTAGATAGAAGCATTCTCAGAAACTACTTTGTGAGGATGGCATTCAACTCATGGAGTTGAACAATCCTATTGATAGAGCAGATTGGAATCACTCTTTTTGTAGAATCTGCAAATGGAGATTTGGACTGCTTTGAGGCCTACGGTCGTATAGGAAGGAACTTCAGATAAAAGGCAAACGGAAGCATTCTCAGAATATTCTTTGTGATGATGGAGTTTCACTCACAGAGCTGAACATGCCTGTTGATGGAGCAGTTTCCAAATACACTTTTGGTAGAATCTGCAGGTGGATATTTGGAGCTCTCTGAGGATTTCGTTGGAAACGGGAATAATTTCCCATAACTAAACACAAACACTCTGAGAAAGTTCTTCATGATGAATGCATTTAACTCGCAGAGATGAACCTGCCTTTGAGAGTTCAGGTTCGAAACACTCTTTCTGTATAATCTGCAAGTGGATATTTGGACCACTGGGTGGCCTTCGTTCGAAACGGGTATATGTTCACGTAAAAACTAAAGAGAAGCATTCTCAGAAACTTCTGAGTGATGATTGCATTCAAGTCACACAGTTGAACCCTCCTTTTGATGGAGCAGTTTTGAAACTGTCTTTTTGTAGAATCTGTAAGTGGATACGTGGACCTCTTTGAAGATTTCTTTGGAAACGGGAATATTTCCACAGAAAAACTAAACTGAAACATTCTCAGAAACCGCTTTGTGATGTTTGTGTTCCAGCCACAGAGTTTAACATTGCTTTTCATAGAGCAGTTTTGAAATATTCTTTTCGCAGAATCTGCAAGTGGACATTTGGAGCGCTTTCAGGCCTGTGGTGGAAAAGGCCTGAAAGCCTTTTCCTTTATCTTCACAGAAAGACGAGAGAGAAGCATTGTCAGAAACTTCTTTGTGATGATTGCATTCAGCTCACAGAGTTGAAGATTCCTTTTGAAACAGCAGTTTCGAAACACTCTTTCTGTGGGATCCGCAAGGGGATATTTGGACCTCTTTGCAGGTTTCGTTGGAAACGGGATAATCTTCACCTAAAAGCTAAACGGAAGCATTCTCAGAAACTTCTTTGGGATGTTTGCATTCACCTCACAGAGTTGAACTTTCCCTTTGATAGCGCAGCTTTGACACACTATTTCTACAATGTGCAAGTGGCTATTTAGCGGGCTTGGAGGACGGTGTTGGAAAAGGAAATATCTTCTCCTAAAAACGACATAGAAGCATTCTCAGAAACTGCTCTGTGATGATTGCATTCAACTCCCAGAGTTGAACATTCCTTTTGATAGAGCAGTTTGCAAACACTCTTTTTGTAGAATCTGCAAGTGGAGATTTGGACCGCTTTGAGGCCTGTGGTAGTGAAGGAAAGAACTTCATATAAAAACCAGACGGTAGCACTCTCAGAAAATTCTTTGTGACGATGGAGTTTAACTCAGGGAGCTGAACATTCGTTATGATGGAGCAGTTTCCAAACACACGTTTTGTAGAATCTGCGAGGGGATATTTGGACCTCTCTGAGGATTTCGTTGGAAACGGGATCAACTTCCCATAACTGAACGGAAGCAAACTCAGAACATTCTTTGTTATGTTTGTATTCAACTCACAGAGTTGAACCTTCCTTTGATAGTTCAGGTTTGCAAAACCCTTGTAGTAGAATCTGCAAGTGTATATTTTGACCACTTTGTAGCCTTCGTTTGAAACGTCTATATCTTCACATCAAACCTAGACAGAAGCATTCTCAGAAAGTTTTCTGCGATGACTGCATTCAACTCACAGAGTTGAACAATCCTTTTGATGGAGCAGTTTTGAAACCCTCTTTCTTTGGAATCTGCAAGGGGATATGTGGACCTCTTTGAAGATTTCACTGGAAACGGGATCATCTTCACATAAAAACTAAACAGAAGCATTCTCGGAAACTATTTTGTGATGTTTGTATTCAACTCCCAGAGTTGAACTTTCCTTTTGAAAGAGCAGCTATGAAACACTCTTTTTCGAGAATCTGCAAGTGGACGTTTGGAGGGCTTTGAGGCCTGTGGTGGAAAAGGAAATATCTTCACACAAAAACCAGATAGAAGCATTCTCAGAAACTACTTTGTGAGGATGGCATTCAACTCATGGAGTTGAACAATCCTATTGATAGAGCAGATTGGAATCACTCTTTTTGTAGAATCTGCAAATGGAGATTTGGACTGCTTTGAGGCCTACGGTAGTACAGGAAGGAAGTTCATATAAAAGGCAAACGGAAGCATTCTCAGAATATTCTTTGTGATGATGGAGTTTCACTCACAGAGCTGAACATGCCTTTTGATGGAGCAGTTTCCAAATACACTTTTGGTAGAATCTGCAGGTGGATATTTGGAGCTCTCTGAGGATTTCGTTGGAAACGGGAATAATTTCCCATAACTAAACACAAACACTCTGAGAAAGTTCTTCATGATGAATGCATTTAACTCGCAGAGATGAACCTGCCTTTGAGAGTTCAGGTTCGAAACACTCTTTCTGTAGAATCTGCAAGTGGATATTTGGACCACTGGGTGGCCTTCGTTCGAAACGCGTATATGTTCACGTAAAAACTAAAGAGAAGCATTCTCAGAAACTTCTGAGTGATGATTACATTCAAGTCACACAGTTGAACCCTCCTTTTGATGGAGCAGTTTTGAAACTGTCTTTTTGTAGAATCTGTAAGTGGATACGTGGACCTCTTTGAAGATTTCTTTGGAAACGGGAATATTTCCACAGAAAAACTAAACTGAAGCATTCTCAGAAACTGCTTTGTGATGTTTGTGTTCGAGCCACAGAGTTTAACATTGCTTTTCATAGAGCAGTTTTGAAATATTCTTTTGGCAGAATCTGCAAGTGGACATTTGGAGCGCTTTCAGGCCTGTGGTGGAAAAGGCCTGAAAGCCTTTTCCTTTATCTTCACAGGAAGACGAGAGAGAAGCATTGTCAGAAACTTCTTTGTGATGATTGCATTCAACTCACAGAGTTGAAGATTCCTTTTGAAACAGCAGTTTCGAAACACTCTTTCTGTGGGATCCGCAAGGGGATATTTGGACCTCTTTGAAGGTTTCGTTGGAAACGGGAT
The DNA here is from genome assembly GCF_000001405.40 of Homo sapiens. Lineage (NCBI taxonomy): Eukaryota > Metazoa > Chordata > Mammalia > Primates > Hominidae > Homo > Homo sapiens. The sequence goes on from NC_000023.11 coordinate 58,879,843, forward strand.
AATCTTCACCTAAAAGCTAAACGGAAGCATTCTCAGAAACTTCTTTGGGATGTTTGCATTCACCTCTCAGAGTTGAACTTTCCCTTTGATAGCGCAGCTTTGACACACTTTTTCTACAATGTGCAAGTGGCTATTTAGCGGGCTTGGAGGACTGTGTTGGAAAAGGAAATATCTTCTCCTAAAAACGACATAGAAGCATTCTCAGAAACTGCTCTGTGATGATTGCATTCAACTCCCAGAGTTGAACATTCCTTTTGATAGAGCAGTTTGCAAACACTCTTTTTGTAGAATCTGCAAGTGGAGATTTGGACCGCTTTGAGGACTGGGGTAGTAAAGGAAAGAGCTTCATATAAAAAACAGACGGTAGCACTCTCAGAAAATTCTTTGTGACGATGGAGTTTAACTCAGGGAGCTGAACATTCGTTATGATGGAGCAGTTTCCAAACACACGTTTTGTAGAATCTGCAAGGGGATATTTGGACCTCTCTGAGGATTTCGTTGGAAACGGGATCAACTTCCCATAACTGAACGGAAGCAAACTCAGAACATTCTTTGTGATGTTTGTATTCAACTCCCAGAGTTGAAATTTCCTTTTGAAAGAGCAGCTATGAAACACTCTTTTTCGAGAATCTGCAAGTGGACGTTTGGAGGGCTTTGAGGCCTGTGGTGGAAAAGGAAATATCTTCACATAAAAACTAGATAGAAGCATTCTCAGAAACTACTTTGTGAGGATGGCATTCAACTCATGGAGTTGAACAATCCTATTGATAGAGCAGATTGGAATCACTCTTTTTGTAGAATCTGCAAATGGAGATTTGGACTGCTTTGAGGCCTACGGTAGTATAGGAAGGAACTTCATATAAAAGGCAAACGGAAGCATTCTCAGAATATTCTTTGTGATGATGGAGTTTCACTCACAGAGCTGAACATGCCTTTTGATGGAGCAGTTTCCAAATACACTTTTGGTAGAATCTGCAGGTGGATATTTGGAGCTCTCTGAGGATTTCGTTGGAAAAGGGAATAATTTCCCATAACTAAACACAAACACTCTGAGAAAGTTCTTCATGATGAATGCATTTAACTCGCAGAGATGAACCTGCCTTTGAGAGTTCAGGTTCGAAACACTCTTTCTGTAGAATCTGCAAGTGGATATTTGGACCACTGGCTGGCCTTCGTTCGAAACGGGTATATGTTCACGTAAAAACTAAAGAGAAGCATTCTCAGAAACTTCTGAGTGATGATTGCATTCAAGTCACACAGTTGAACCCTCCTTTTGATGGAGCAGTTTTGAAACTGTCTTTTTGTAGAATCTGTAAGTGGATACGTGGACCTCTTTGAAGATTTCTTTGGAAACGGGAATATTTCCACAGAAAAACTAAACTGAAGCATTCTCAGAAACCGCTTTGTGATGTTTGTGTTCGAGCCACAGAGTTTAACATTGCTTTTCATAGAGCAGTTTTGAAATATTCTTTTCGCAGAATCTGCAAGTGGACATTTGGAGCGCTTTCAGGCCTGTGGTGGAAAAGGCCTGAAAGCCTTTTCCTTTATCTTCACAGAAAGACGAGAGAGAAGCATTGTCAGAAACTTCTTTGTGATGATTGCATTCAACTCACAGAGTTGAAGATTCCTTTTGAAACAGCAGTTTCGAAACACTCTTTCTGTGGGATCCGCAAGGGGATATTTGGACCTCTTTGAAGGTTTCGTTGGAAACGGGATAATCTTCACCTAAAAGCTAAACGGAAGCATTCTCAGAAACTTCTTTGGGATGTTTGCATTCACCTCACAGAGTTGAACTTTCCCTTTGATAGCGCAGCTTTGACACACTTTTTCTACAATGTGCAAGTGGCTATTTAGCGGGCTTGGAGGACTGTGTTGGAAAAGGAAATATCTTCTCCTAAAAACGACATAGAAGCATTCTCAGAAACTGCTCTGTGATGATTGCATTCAACTCCCAGAGTTGAACATTCCTTTTGATAGAGCAGTTTGCAAACACTCTTTTTGTAGAATCTGCAAGTGGAGATTTGGACCGCTTTGAGGCCTGTGGTAGTGAAGGAAAGAACTTCATATAAAAACCAGACGGTAACACTCTCAGAAAATTCTTTGTGACGATGGAGTTTAACTCAGGGAGCTGAACATTCGTTATGATGGAGCAGTTTCCAAACACACGTTTTGTAGAATCTGCAAGGGGATATTTGGACCTCTCTGAGGATTTCGTTGGAAACGGGATCAACTTCCCATAACTGAACGGAAGCAAACTCAGAACATTCTTTGTGATGTTTGTATTCAACTCACAGAGTTGAACCTTCCTTTGATAGTTCAGGTTTGCAACACCCTTGTAGTAGAATCTGCAAGTGTATATTTTGACCACTTTGTAGCCTTCGTTTGAAACGTCTATATCTTCACATCAAACCTAGACAGAAGCATTCTCAGAAAGTTTTCTGCGATGACTGCATTCAACTCACAGAGTTGAACAATCCTTCTGATGGAGCAGTTTTGAAACCCTCTTTCTTTGGAATCTGCAAGGGGATATGTGGACCTCTTTGAAGATTTCACTGGAAACGGGATCATCTTCACATAAAAACTAAACAGAAGCATTCTCGGAAACTACTTTGTGATGTTTGTATTCAACTCCCAGAGTTGAACTTTCCTTTTGAAAGAGCAGCTATGAAACACTCTTTTTCGAGAATCTGCAAGTGGACGTTTGGAGGGCTTTGAGGCCTGTGGTGGAAAAGGAAATATCTTCACACAAAAACCAGATAGAAGCATTCTCAGAAACTACTTTGTGAGGATGGCATTCAACTCATGGAGTTGAACAATCCTATTGATAGAGCAGATTGGAATCACTCTTTTTGTAGAATCTGCAAATGGAGATTTGGACTGCTTTGAGGCCTACGGTAGTACAGGAAGGAACTTCATATAAAAGGCAAACGGAAGCATTCTCAGAATATTCTTTGTGATGATGGAGTTTCACTCACAGAGCTGAACATGCCTTTTGATGGAGCAGTTTCCAAATACGCTTTTGGTAGAATCTGCAGGTGGATATTTGGAGCTCTCTGAGGATTTCGTTGGAAACGGGAATAATTTCCCATAACTAAACACAAACACTCTGAGAAAGTTCTTCATGATGAATGCATTTAACTCGCAGAGATGAACCTGCCTTTGAGAGTTCAGGTTCGAAACACTCTTTCTGTAGAATCTGCAAGTGGATATTTGGACCACTGGGTGGCCTTCGTTCGAAACGGGTATATGTTCACGTAAAAACTAAAGAGAAGCATTCTCAGAAACTTCTGAGTGATGATTGCATTCAAGTCACACAGTTGAACCCTCCTTTTGATGGAGCAGTTTTGAAACTGTCTTTTTGTAGAATCTGTAAGTGGACACGTGGACCTCTTTGAAGATTTCTTTGGAAACGGGAATATTTCCACAGAAAAACTAAACTGAAGCATTCTCAGAAACTGCTTTGTGATGTTTGTGTTCGAGCCACAGAGTTTAACATTGCTTTTCATAGAGCAGTTTTGCAATATTCTTTTCACAGAATCTGCAAGTGGACATTTGGAGCGCTTTCAGGCCTGTGGTGGAAAAGGCCTGAAAGCCTTTTCCTTTATCTTCACAGAAAGACGAGAGAGAAGCATTGTCAGAAACTTCTTTGTGATGATTGCATTCAACTCACAGAGTTGAAGATTCCTTTTGAAACAGCAGTTTCGAAACACTCTTTCTGTGGGATCCGCAAGGGGATATTTGGACCTCTTTGAAGGTTTCGTTGGAAACGGGATAATCTTCACCTAAAAGCTAAACGGAAGCATTCTCAGAAACTTCTTTGGGATGTTTGCATTCACCTCACAGAGTTGAACTTTCCCTTTGATAGCGCAGCTTTGACACACTTTTTCTACAATGTGCAAGTGGCTATTTAGCGGGCTAGGAGGACTGTGTTGGAAAAGGAAATATCTTCTCCTAAAAACGACATAGAAGCATTCTCAGAAACTGCTCTGTGATGATTGCATTGAACTCCCAGAGTTGAACATTCCTTTTGATAGAGCAGTTTGCAAACACTCTTTTTGTAGAATCTGCAAGTGGAGATTTGGACCGCTTTGAGGCCTGTGGTAGTGAAGGAAAGAACTTCATATAAAAACCAGACGGTAGCACTCTCAGAAAATTCTTTGTGACGATGGAGTTTAACTCAGGGAGCTGAACATTCGTTATGATGGAGCAGTTTCCAAACACACGTTTTGTAGAATCTGCAAGGGGATATTTGGACCTCTCTGAGGATTTCGTTGGAAACGGGATCAACTTCCCATAACTGAACGGAAGCAAACTCAGAACATTCTTTGTGATGTTTGTATTCAACTCACAGAGTTGAACCTTCCTTTGATAGTTCAGGTTTGCAACACCCTTGTAGTAGAATCTGCAAGTGTATATTTTGACCACTTTGTAGCCTTCGTTTGAAACCTCTATATCTTCACATCAAACCTAGACAGAAGCATTCTCAGAAAGTTTTCTGCGATGACTGCATTCAACTCACAGAGTTGAACAATCCTTCTGATGGAGCAGTTTTGAAACCCTCTTTCTTTGGAATCTGCAAGGGGATATGTGGACCTCTTTGAAGATTTCACTGGAAACGGGATCATCTTCACATAAAAACTAAACAGAAGCATTCTCGGAAACTACTTTGTGATGTTTGTATTCAACTGCCAGAGTTGAACTTTCCTTTTGAAAGAGCAGCTATGAAACACTCTTTTTCGAGAATCTGCAAGTGGACGTTTGGAGGGCTTTGAGGCCTGTGGTGGAAAAGGAAATATCTTCACACAAAAACCAGATAGAAGCATTCTCAGAAACTGCTTTGTGAGGATGGCATTCAACTCATGGAGTTGAACAATCCTATTGATAGAGCAGATTGGAATCACTCTTTTTGTAGAATCTGCAAATGGAGATTTGGACTGCTTTGAGGCCTACGGTCGTACAGGAAGGAACTTCATATAAAAGGCAAACGGAAGCATTCTCAGAATATTCTTTGTGATGATGGAGTTTCACTCACAGAGCTGAACATGCCTTTTGATGGAGCAGTTTCCAAATACACTTTTGGTAGAATCTGCAGGTGGATATTTGGAGCTCTCTGAGGATTTCGTTGGAAAGGGGAATAATTTCCCATAACTAAACACAAACACTCTGAGAAAGTTCTTCATGATGAATGCATTTAACTCGCAGAGATGAACCTGCCTTTGAGAGTTCAGGTTCGAAACACTCTTTCTGTATAATCTGCAAGTGGATATTTGGACCACTGGGTGGCCTTCGTTCGAAACGGGTATATGTTCACGTAAAAACTAAAGAGAAGCATTCTCAGAAATTTCTGAGTGATGATTGCATTCAAGTCACACGGTTGAACCCTCCTTTTGATGGAGCAGTTTGAAACTGTCTTTTTGTAGAATCTGTAAGTGGATACGTGGACCTCTTTGAAGATTTCTTTCGAAACGGGAATATTTCCACAGAAAAACTAAACTGAAGCATTCTCAGAAACCGCTTTGTGATGTTTGTGTTCGAGCCACAGAGTTTAACATTGCTTTTCATAGAGCAGTTTTGAAATATTCTTTTCGCAGAATCTGCAAGTGGACATTTGGAGCGCTTTCAGGCCTGTGGTGGAAAAGGCCTGAAAGCCTTTTCCTTTATCTTCACAGAAAGACGAGAGAGAAGCATTGTCAGAAACTTCTTTGTGATGATTGCATTCAACTCACAGAGTTGAAGATTCCTTTTGAAACAGCAGTTTCGAAACACTCTTTCTGTGGGATCCGCAAGGGGATATTTGGACCTCTTTGAAGGTTTCGTTGGAAACGGGATAATCTTCACCTAAAAGCTAAACGGAAGCATTCTCAGAAACTTCTTTGGGATGTTTGCATTCACCTCACAGAGTTGAACTTTCCCTTTGATAGCGCAGCTTCGACACACTTTTTCTACAATGTGCAAGTGGCTATTTAGCGGGCTTGGAGGACTGTGTTGGAAAAGGAAATATCTTCTCCTAAAAACGACATAGAAGCATTCTCAGAAACTGCTCTGTGATGATTGCATTCAACTCCCAGAGTTGAACATTCCTTTTGATAGAGCAGTTTGCAAACACTCTTTTTGTAGAATCTGCAAGTGGAGATTTGGACCGCTTTGAGGCCTGTGGTAGTGAAGGAAAGAACTTCATATAAAAACCAGACGGTAGCACTCTCAGAAAATTCTTTGTGACGATGGAGTTTAACTCAGGGAGCTGAACATTCGTTATGATGGAGCAGTTTCCAAACACATGTTTTGTAGAATCTGCGAGGGGATATTTGGACCTCTCTGAGGATTTCGTTGGAAACGGGATCAACTTCCCATAACTGAACGGAAGCAAACTCAGAACATTCTTTGTGATGTTTGTATTCAACTCACAGAGTTGAACCTTCCTTTGATAGTTCAGGTTTGCAACACCCTTGTAGTAGAATCTGCAAGTGTATATTTTGACCACTTTGTAGCCTTCGTTTGAAACGTCTATATCTTCACATCAAACCTAGACAGAAGCATTCTCAGAAAGTTTTCTGCGATGACTGCATTCAACTCACAGAGTTGAACAATCCTTCTGATGGAGCAGTTTTGAAACCCTCTTTCTTTGGAATCTGCAAGGGGATATGTGGACCTCTTTGAAGATTTCACTGGAAACGGGATCATCTTCACATAAAAACTAAACTGAAGCATTCTCGGAAACTATTTTGTGATGTTTGTATTCAACTCCCAGAGTTGAACTTTCCTTTTGAAAGAGCAGCTATGAAACACTCTTTTTCGAGAATCTGCAAGTGGACGTTTGGAGGGCTTTGAGGCCTGTGGTGGAAAAGGAAATATCTTCACACAAAAACCAGATAGAAGCATTCTCAGAAACTACTTTGTGAGGATGGCATTCAACTCATGGAGTTGAACAATCCTATTGATAGAGCAGATTGGAATCACTCTTTTTGTAGAATCTGCAAATGGAGATTTGGACTGCTTTGAGGCCTACGGTAGTACAGGAAGGAACTTCATATAAAAGGCAAACGGAAGCATTCTCAGAATATTCTTTGTGATGATGGAGTTTCACTCACAGAGCTGAACATGCCTTTTGATGGAGCAGTTTCCAAATACACTTTTGGTAGAATCTGCAGGTGGATATTTGGAGCTCTCTGAGGATTTCGTTGGAAACGGGAATAATTTCCCATAACTAAACACAAACACTCTGAGAAAGTTCTTCATGATGAATGCATTTAACTCGCAGAGATGAACCTGCCTTTGAGAGTTCAGGTTCGAAACACTCTTTCTGTATAATCTGCAAGTGGATATTTGGACCACTGGGTGGCCTTCGTTCGAAACGGGTATATGTTCACGTAAAAACTAAAGAGAAGCATTCTCAGAAACTTCTGAGTGATGATTGCATTCAAGTCACACAGTTGAACCCTCCTTTTGATGGAGCAGTTTTGAAACTGTCTTTTTGTAGAATCTGTAAGTGGATACGTGGACCTCTTTGAAGATTTCTTTGGAAACGGGAATATTTCCACAGAAAAACTAAACTGAAGCATTCTCAGAAACCGCTTTGTGATGTTTGTGTTCGAGCCACAGAGTTTAACATTGCTTTTCATAGAGCAGTTTTGAAATATTCTTTTCGCAGAATCTGCAAGTGGACATTTGGAGCGCTTTCAGGCCTGTGGGTGGAAAAGGCCTGAAAGCCTTTTCCTTTATCTTCACAGAAAGACGAGAGAGAAGCATTGTCAGAAACTTCTTTGTGATGATTGCATTCAACTCACAGAGTTGAAGATTCCTTTTGAAACAGCAGTTTCGAAACACTCTTTCTGTGGGATCCGCAAGGGGATATTTGGACCTCTTTGAAGGTTTCGTTGGAAACGGGATAATCTTCACCTAAAAGCTAAACGGAAGCATTCTCAGAAACTTCTTTGGGATGTTTGCATTCACCTCACAGAGTTGAACTTTCCCTTTGATAGCGCAGCTTTGACACACTTTTTCTACAATGTGCAAGTGGCTATTTAGCGGGCTTGGAGGACTGTGTTGGAAAAGGAAATATCTTCTCCTAAAAACGACATAGAAGCATTCTCAGAAACTGCTCTGTGATGATTGCATTCAACTCCCAGAGTTGAACATTCCTTTTGATAGAGCAGTTTGCAAACACTCTTTTTGTAGAATCTGCAAGTGGAGATTTGGACCGCTTTGAGGCCTGTGGTAGTGAAGGAAAGAACTTCATATAAAAACCAGACGGTAGCACTCTCAGAAAATTCTTTGTGACGATGGAGTTTAACTCAGGGAGCTGAACATTCGTTATGATGGAGCAGTTTCCAAACACACGTTTTGTAGAATCTGCAAGGGGATATTTGGACCTCTCTGAGGATTTCGTTGGAAACGGGATCAACATCCCATAACTGAACAGAAGCAAACTCAGAACATTCTTTGTGATGTTTGTATTCAACTCACAGAGTTGAACCTTCCTTTGATAGTTCAGGTTTGCAACACCCTTGTAGTAGAATCTGCAAGTGTATATTTTGACCACTTTGTAGCCTTCGTTTGAAACGTCTATATCTTCACATCAAACCTAGACAGAAGCATTCTCAGAAAGTTTTCTGCGATGACTGCATTCAACTCACAGAGTTGAACAATCCTTCTGATGGAGCAGTTTTGAAACCCTCTTTCTTTGGAATCTGCAAGGGGATATGTGGACCTCTTTGAAGATTTCACTGGAAACGGGATCATCTTCACATAAAAACTAAACAGAAGCATTCTCGGAAACTACTTTGTGATGTTTGTATTCAACTCCCAGAGTTGAACTTTCCTTTTGAAAGAGCAGCTATGAAACACTCCTTTTCGAGAATCTGCAAGTGGACGTTTGGAGGGCTTTGAGGCCTGTGGTGGAAAAGGAAATATCTTCACATAAAAACTAGATAGAAGCATTCTCAGAAACGACTTTGTGAGGATGGCATTCAACTCATGGAGTTGAACAATCCTATTGATAGAGCAGATTGGAATCACTCTTTTTGTAGAATCTGGAAATGGAGATTTGGACTGCTTTGAGGCCTACGGTCGTATAGGAAGGAACTTCAGATAAAAGGCAAACGGAAGCATTCTCAGAATATTCTTTGTGATGATGGAGTTTCACTCACAGAGCTGAACATGCCTTTTGACGGAGCAGTTTCCAAATACACTTTTGGTAGAATCTGCAGGTGGATATTTGGAGCTCTCTGAGGATTTCGTTGGAAACGGGAATAATTTCCCATAACTAAACACAAACACTCTGAGAAAGTTCTTCATGATGAATGCATTTAACTCGCAGAGATGAACCTGCCTTTGAGAGTTCAGGTTCGAAACACTCTTTCTGTATAATCTGCAAGTGGATATTTGGACCACTGGGTGGCCTTCGTTCGAAACGCGTATATGTTCACGTAAAAACTAAAGAGAAGCATTCTCAGAAACTTCTGAGTGATGATTGCATTCAAGTCACACAGTTGAACCCTCCTTTTGATGGAGCAGTTTTGAAACTGTCTTTTTTAGAATCTGTAAGTGGATACGTGGACCTCTTTGAAGATTTCTTTGGAAACGGGAATACTTCCACAGAAAAACTAAACTGAAGCATTCTCAGAAACCGCTTTGTGATGTTTGTGTTCGAGCCGCAGAGTTTAACATTGCTTTTCATAGAGCAGTTTTGAAATATTCTTTTCGCAGAATCTGCAAGTGGACATTTGGAGCGCTTTCAGGCCTGTGGTGGCAAAGGCCTGAAAGCCTTTTCCTTTATCTTCACAGAAAGACGAGAGAGAAGCATTGTCAGAAACTTCTTTGTGATGATTGCATTCAACTCACAGAGTTGAAGATTCCTTTTGAAACAGCAGTTTCGAAACACTCTTTCTGTGGGATCCGCAAGGGGATATTTGGACCTCTTTGAAGGTTTCGTTGGAAACGGGATAATCTTCACCTAAAAGCTAAACGGAAGCATTCTCAGAAACTTCTTTGGGATGTTTGCATTCACCTCACAGAGTTGAACTTTCCCTTTGATAGCGCAGCTTTGACACACTTTTTCTACAATGTGCAAGTGGCTATTTAGCGGGCTTGGAGGACTGTGTTGGAAAAGGAAATATCTTCTCCTAAAAACGACATAGAAGCATTCTCAGAAACTGCTCTGTGATGATTGCATTCAACTCCCAGAGTTGAACATTCCTTTTGATAGAGCAGTTTGCAAACACTCTTTTTGTAGAATCTGCAAGTGGGGATTTGGACCGCTTTGAGGCCTGTGGTAGTGAAGGAAAGAACTTCATATAAAAACCAGACGGTAGCACTCTCAGAAAATTCTTTGTGACGATGGAGTTTAACTCAGGGAGCTGAACATTCGTTATGATGGAGCAGTTTCCAAACAAACGTTTTGTAGAATCTGCGAGGGGATATTTGGACCTCTCTGAGGATTTCGTTGGAAACGGGATCAACTTCCCATAACTGAACGGAAGCAAACTCAGAACATTCTTTGTGATGTTTGTATTCAACTCACAGAGTTGAACCATCCTTTGATACTTCAGGTTTCCAACACCCTTGTAGTAGAATCTGCAAGTGTATATTTTGACCACGTTGTAGCCTTCGTTTGAAACGTCTATATCTTCACATCAAACCTAGACAGAAGCATTCTCAGAAAGTTTTCTGCGATGACTGCATTCAACTCACAGAGTTGAACAATCCTTCTGATGGAGCAGTTTTGAAACCCTCTTTCTTTGGAATCTGCAAGGGGATATGTGGACCTCTTTGAAGATTTCACTGGAAACGGGATCATCTTCACATAAAAACTAAACAGAAGCATTCTCGGAAACTATTTTGTGATGTTTGTATTCAACTCCCAGAGTTGAACTTTCCTTTTGAAAGAGCAGCTATGAAACACTCTTTTTCGAGAATCTGCAAGTGGACGTTTGGAGGGCTTTGAGGCCTGTGGTGGAAAAGGAAATATCTTCACACAAAAACCAGATAGAAGCATTCTCAGAAACTGCTTTGTGAGGATGGCATTCAACTCATGGAGTTGAACAATCCTTTTGATAGAGCAGATTGGAATCACTCTTTTTGTAGAATCTGCAAATGGAGATTTGGACTGCTTTGAGGCCTACGGTAGTACAGGAAGGAACTTCATATAAAAGGCAAACGGAAGCATTCTCAGAATATTCTTTGTGATGATGGAGTTTCACTCACAGAGCTGAACATGCCTTTTGATGGAGCAGTTTCCAAATACACTTTTGGTAGAATCTGCAGGTGGATATTTGGAGCTCTCTGAGGATTTCGTTGGAAACGGGAATAATTTCCCATAACTAAACACAAACACTCTGAGAAAGTTCTTCATGATGAATGCATTTAACTCGCAGAGATGAACCTGCCTTTGAGAGTTCAGGTTCGAAACACTCTTTCTGTATAATCTGCAAGTGGATATTTGGACCACTGGGTGGCCTTCGTTCGAAACGGGTATATGTTCACGTAAAAACTAAAGAGAAGCATTCTCAGAAACTTCTGAGTGATGATTGCATTCAAGTCACACAGTTGAACCCTCCTTTTGATGGAGCAGTTTTGAAACTGTCTTTTTGTAGAATCTGTAAGTGGATACGTGGACCTCTTTGAAGATTTCTTTGGAAACGGGAATATTTCCACAGAAAAACTAAACTGAAACATTCTCAGAAACTGCTTTGTGATGTTTGTGTTCCAGCCACAGAGTTTAACATTGCTTTTCATAGAGCAGTTTTGAAATATTCTTTTCGCAGAATCTGCAAGTGGACATTTGGAGCGCTTTCAGGCCTGTGGTGGAAAAGGCCTGAAAGCCTTTTCCTTTATCTTCACAGAAAGACGAGAGAGAAGCATTGTCAGAAACTTCTTTGTGATGATTGCATTCAACTCACAGAGTTGAAGATTCCTTTTGAAACAGCAGTTTCGAAACACTCTTTCTGTGGGATCCGCAAGGGGATATTTGGACCTCTTTGAAGGTTTCGTTGGAAACGGGATAATCTTCACCTAAAAGCTAAACGGAAGCATTCTCAGAAACTTCTTTGGGATGTTTGCATTCACCTCACAGAGTTGAACTTTCCCTTTGATAGCGCAGCTTTGACACACTTTTTCTACAATGTGCAAGTGGCTATTTAGCGGACTTGGAGGACAGTGTTGGAAAAGGAAATATCTTCTCCTAAAAACGACATAGAAGCATTCTCAGAAACTGCTCTGTGATGATTGCATTCAACTCCCAGAGTTGAACATTCCTTTTGATAGAGCAGTTTGCAAACACTCTTTTTGTAGAATCTGCAAGTGGAGATTTGGACCGCTTTGAGGCCTGTGGTAGTGAAGGAAAGAACTTCATATAAAAACCAGACGGTAGCACTCTCAGAAAATTCTTTGTGACGATGGAGTTTAACTCAGGGAGCTGAACATTCGTTATGATGGAGCAGTTTCCAAACACACGTTTTGTAGAATCTGCGAGGGGATATTTGGACCTCTCTGAGGATTTCTTTGGAAACGGGATCAACTTCCCATAACTGAACGGAAGCAAACTCAGAACATTCTTTGTGATGTTTGTATTCAACTCACAGAGTTGAACCTTCCTTTGATAGTTCAGGTTTGCAACACCCTTGTAGTAGAATCTGCAAGTGTATATTTTGACCACTTTGTAGCCTTCGTTTGAAACGTCTATATCTTCACATCAAACCTGGACAGAAGCTTTCTCAGAAAGTTTTCTGCGATGACTGCATTCAACTCACAGAGTTGAACAATCCTTCTGATGGAGCAGTTTTGAAACCCTCTTTCTTTGGAATCTGCAAGGGGATATGTGGACCTCTTTGAAGATTTCACTGGAAACGGGATCATCTTCACATAAAAACTAAACAGAAGCATTCTCGGAAACTACTTTGTGATGTTTGTATTCAACTCCCAGAGTTGAACTTTCCTTTGGAAAGAGCAGCTATGAAACACTCTTTTTCGAGAATCTGCAAGTGGACGTTTGGAGGGCTTTGAGGCCTGTGGTGGAAAAGGAAATATCTTCACACAAAAACCAGATAGAAGCATTCTCAGAAACTACTTTGTGAGGATGGCATTCAACTCATGGAGTTGAACAATCCTATTGATAGAGCAGATTGGAATCACTCTTTTTATAGAATCTGCAAATGGAGATTTGGACTGCTTTGAGGCCTACGGTAGTACAGGAAGGAACTTCATATAAAAGGCAAACGGAAGCATTCTCAGAATATTCTTTGTGATGATGGAGTTTCACTCACAGAGCTGAACATGCCTTTTGATGGAGCAGTTTCCAAATACACTTTTGGTAGAATCTGCAGGTGGATATTTGGAGCTCTCTGAGGATTTCGTTGGAAACGGGGAATAATTTCCCATAACTAAACACAAACACTCTGAGAAAGTTCTTCATGATGAATGCATTTAACTCGCAGAGATGAACCTGCCTTTGAGAGTTCAGGTTCGAAACACTCTTTCTGTAGAATCTGCAAGTGGATATTTGGACCACTGGCTGGCCTTCGTTCGAAACGGGTATATGTTCACGTAAAAACTAAAGAGAAGCATTCTCAGAAACTTCTGAGTGATGATTGCATTCAAGTCACACAGTTGAACCCTCCTTTTGATGGAGCAGTTTTGAAACTGTCTTTTTGTAGAATCTGTAAGTGGATACGTGGACCTCTTTGAAGATTTCTTTGGAAACGGGAATATTTCCACAGAAAAACTAAACTGAAGCATTCTCAGAAACCGCTTTGTGATGTTTGTGTTCGAGCCACAGAGTTTAACATTGCGTTTCATAGAGCAGTTTTGAAATATTCTTTTGGCAGAATCTGCAAGTGGACATTTGGAGCGCTTTCAGGCCTGTGGTGGAAAAGGCCTGAAAGCCTTTTCCTTTATCTTCACAGAAAGACGAGAGAGAAGCATTGTCAGAAACTTCTTTGTGATGATTGCATTCAACTCACAGAGTTGAAGATTCCTTTTGAAACAGCAGTTTCGAAACACTCTTTCTGTGGGATCCGCAAGGGGATATTTGGACCTCTTTGAAGGTTTCGTTGGAAACGGGATAATCTTCACCTAAAAGCTAAACGGAAGCATTCTCAGAAACTTCTTTGGGATGTTTGCATTCACCTCACAGAGTTGAACTTTCCCTTTGATAGCGCAGCTTTGACACACGTTTTCTACAATGTGCAAGTGGCTATTTAGCGGGCTTGGAGGACTGTGTTGGAAAAGGAAATATCTTCTCCTAAAAACGACATAGAAGCATTCTCAGAAACTGCTCTGTGATGATTGCATTCAACTCCCAGAGTTGAACATTCCTTTTGATAGAGCAGTTTGCAAACACTCTTTTTGTAGAATCTGCAAGTGGAGATTTGGACCGCTTTGAGGCCTGTGGTAGTGAAGGAAAGAACTTCATATAAAAACCAGACGGTAGCACTCTCAGAAAATTCTTTGTGACGATGGAGTTTAACTCGGGGAGCTGAACATTCGTTATGATGGAGCAGTTTCCAAACACACGTTTTGTAGAATCTGCAAGGGGATATTTGGACCTCTCTGAGGATTTCGTTGGAAACGGGATCAACTTCCCATAACTGAACGGAAGCAAACTCAGAACATTCTTTGTGATGTTTGTATTCAACTCACAGAGTTGAACCTTCCTTTGATAGTTCAGGTTTGCAACACCCTTGTAGTAGAATCTGCAAGTGTATATTTTGACCACTTTGTAGCCTTCGTTTGAAACGTCTATATCTTCACATCAAACCTAGACAGAAGCATTCTCAGAAAGTTTTCTGCGATGACTGCATTCAACTCACAGAGTTGAACAATCCTTCTGATGGAGCAGTTTTGAAACCCTCTTTCTTTGGAATCTGCAAGGGGATATGTGGACCTCTTTGAAGATTTCACTGGAAACGGGATCATCTTCACATAAAAACTAAACAGAAGCATTCTCGGAAACTACTTTGTGATGTTTGTATTCAACTCCCAGAGTTGAACTTTCCTTTTGAAAGAGCAGCTATGAAACACTCTTTTTCGAGGATCTGCAAGTGGACGTTTGGAGGGCTTTGAGGCCTGTGGTGGAAAAGGAAATATCTTCACATAAAAACTAGATAGAAGCATTCTCAGAAACGACTTTGTGAGGATGGCATTCAACACATGGAGTTGAACAATCCTATTGATAGAGCAGATTGGAATCACTCTTTTTGGAGAATCTGCAAATGGAGATTTGGACTGCTTTGAGGCCTACGGTCGTATAGGAAGGAACTTCATATAAAAGGCAAACGGAAGCATTCTCAGAATATTCTTTGTGATGATGGAGTTTCACTCACAGAGCTGAACATGCCTTTTGATGGAGCAGTTTCCAAATACACTTTTGGTAGAATCTGCAGGTGGATATTTAGAGCTCTCTGAGGATTTCGTTGGAAACGGGAATAATTTCCCATAACTAAACACAAACACTCTGAGAAAGTTCTTCATGATGAATGCATTTAACTCGCAGAGATGAACCTGCCTTTGAGAGTTCAGGTTCGAAACACACTTTCTGTAGAATCTGCAAGTGGATATTTGGACCACTGGGTGGCCTTCTTTCGAAACGGGTATATGTTCACGTAAAAACTAAAGAGAAGCATTCTCAGAAACTTCTGAGTGATGATTGCATTCAAGTCACACAGTTGAACCCTCCTTTTGATGGAGCAGTTTTGAAACTGTCTTTTTGTAGAATCTGTAAGTGGATACGTGGACCTCTTTGAAGATTTCTTTGGAAACGGGAATATTTCCACAGAAAAACTAAACTGAAGCATTCTCAGAAACCGCTTTGTGATGTTTGTGTTCGAGCCACAGAGTTTAACATTGCTTTTCATAGAGCAGTTTTGAAATATTCTTTTCGCAGAATCTGCAAGTGGACATTTGGAGCGCTTTCAGGCCTGTGGTGGAAAAGGCCTGAAAGCCTTTTCCTTTATCTTCACAGAAAGACGAGAGAGAAGCATTGTCAGAAACTTCTTTGTGATGATTGCATTCAACTCACAGAGTTGAAGATTCCTTTTGAAACAGCAGTTTCGAAACACTCTTTCTGTGGGATCCGCAAGGGGATATTTGGACCTCTTTGAAGGTTTCGTTGGAAACGGGATAATCTTCACCTAAAAGCTAAACGGAAGCATTCTCAGAAACTTCTTTGGGATGTTTGCATTCACCTCACAGAGTTGAACTTTCCCTTTGATAGCGCAGCTTTGACACACTTTTTCTACAATGTGCAAGTGGCTATTTAGCGGGCTTGGAGGACTGTGTTGGAAAAGGAAATATCTTCTCCTAAAAACGACATAGAAGCATTCTCAGAAACTGCTCTGTGATGATTGCATTCAACTCCCAGAGTTGAACATTCCTTTTGATAGAGCAGTTTGCAAACACTCTTTTTGTAGAATCTGCAAGTGGAGATTTGGACCGCTTTGAGGCCTGTGGTAGTGAAGGAAAGAACTTCATATAAAAACCAGACGGTAGCACTCTCAGAAAATTCTTTGTGACGATGGAGTTTAACTCAGGGAGCTGAACATTCGTTATGATGGAGCAGTTTCCAAACACACGTTTTGTAGAATCTGCGAGGGGATATTTGGACCTCTCTGAGGATTTCGTTGGAAACAGGATCAACTTCCCATAACTGAACGGAAGCAAACTCAGAACATTCTTTGTGATGTTTGTATTCAACTCACAGAGTTGAACCATCCTTTGATAGTTCAGGTTTGTAACACCCTTGTAGTAGAATCTGCAAGTGTATATTTTGACCACTTTGTACCCTTCGTTTGAAGCGTCTATATCTTCACATCAAACCTAGACAGAAGCATTCTCAGAAAGTTTTCTGCGATGACTGCATTCAACTCACAGAGTTGAACAATCCTTCTGATGGAGCAGTTTTGAAACCCTCTTTCTTTGGAATCTGCAAGGGGATATGTGGACCTCTTTGAAGATTTCACTGGAAACGGGATCATCTTCACATAAAAACTAAACAGAAGCATTCTCGGAAACTACTTTGTTATGTTTGTATTCAACTCCCAGAGTTGAACTTTCCTTTTGAAAGAGCAGCTATGAAACACTCTTTTTCGAGAATCTGCAAGTGGACGTTTGGAGGGCTTTGAGGCCTGTGGTGGAAAAGGAAATATCTTCACACAAAAACCAGATAGAAGCATTCTCAGAAACTACTTTGTGAGGATGGCATTCAACTCATGGAGTTGAACAATCCTATTGATAGAGCAGATTGGAATCACTCTTTTTGTAGAATCTGCAAATGGAGATTTGGACTGCTTTGAGGCCTACGGTCGTATAGGAAGGAACTTCATATAAAAGGCAAACGGAAGCATTCTCAGAATATTCTTTGTGATGATGGAGTTTCACTCACAGAGCTGAACATGCCTTTTGATGGAGCAGTTTCCAAATACACTTTTGGTAGAATCTGCAGGTGGATATTTGGAGCTCTCTGAGGATTTCGTTGGAAACGGGAATAATTTCCCATAACTAAACACAAACACTCTGAGAAAGTTCTTCATGATGAATGCATTTAACTCGCAGAGATGAACCTGCCTTTGAGAGTTCAGGTTCGAAACACTCTTTCTGTAGAATCTGCAAGTGGATATTTGGACCACTGGCTGGCCTTCGTTCGAAACGGGTATATGTTCACGTAAAAACTAAAGAGAAGCATTCTCAGAAACTTCTGAGTGATGATTGCATTCAAGTCACACAGTTGAACCCTCCTTTTGATGGAGCAGTTTTGAAACTGTCTTTTTGTAGAATCTGTAAGTGGATACGTGGACCTCTTTGAAGATTTCTTTGGAAACGGGAATATTTCCACAGAAAAACTAAACTGAAGCATTCTCAGAAACTGCTTTGTGATGTTTGTGTTCGAGCCACAGAGTTTAACATTGCTTTTCATAGAGCAGTTTTGCAATATTCTTTTCACAGAATCTGCAAGTGGACATTTGGAGCGCTTTCAGGCCTGTGGTGGAAAAGGCCTGAAAGCCTTTTCCTTTATCTTCACAGAAAGACGAGAGAGAAGCATTGTCAGAAACTTCTTTGTGATGATTGCATTCAACTCACAGAGTTGAAGATTCCTTTTGAAACAGCAGTTTCGAAACACTCTTTCTGTGGGATCCGCAAGGGGATATTTGGACCTCTTTGAAGGTTTCGTTGGAAACGGGATAATCTTCACCTAAAAGCTAAACGGAAGCATTCTCAGAAACTTCTTTGGGATGTTTGCATTCACCTCACAGAGTTCAACTTTCCCTTTGATAGCGCAGCTTTGACACACTTTTTCTACAATGTGCAAGTGGCTATTTAGCGGGCTTGGAGGACTGTGTTGGAAAAGGAAATATCTTCTCCTAAAAACGACATAGAAGCATTCTCAGAAACTGCTCTGTGATGATTGCATTCAACTCCCAGAGTTGAACATTCCTTTTGATAGAGCAGTTTGCAAACACTCTTTTTGTAGAATCTGCAAGTGGAGATTTGGACCGCTTTGAGGCCTGTGGTAGTGAAGGAAAGAACTTCATATAAAAACCAGACGGTAGCACTCTCAGAAAATTCTTTGTGACGATGGAGTTTAACTCAGGGAGCTGAACATTCGTTATGATGGAGCAGTTTCCAAACACACGTTTTGTAGAATCTGCGAGGGGATATTTGGACCTCTCTGAGGATTTCGTTGGAAACAGGATCAACTTCCCATAACTGAACGGAAGCAAACTCAGAACATTCTTTGTGATGTTTGTATTCAACTCACAGAGTTGAACCATCCTTTGATAGTTCAGGTTTGTAACACCCTTGTAGTAGAATCTGCAAGTGTATATTTTGACCACTTTGTACCCTTCGTTTGAAGCGTCTATATCTTCACATCAAACCTAGACAGAAGCATTCTCAGAAAGTTTTCTGCGATGACTGCATTCAACTCACAGAGTTGAACAATCCTTCTGATGGAGCAGTTTTGAAACCCTCTTTCTTTGGAATCTGCAAGGGGATATGTGGACCTCTTTGAAGATTTCACTGGAAACGGGATCATCTTCACATAAAAACTAAACAGAAGCATTCTCGGAAACTACTTTGTTATGTTTGTATTCAACTCCCAGAGTTGAACTTTCCTTTTGAAAGAGCAGCTATGAAACACTCTTTTTCGAGAATCTGCAAGTGGACGTTTGGAGGGCTTTGAGGCCTGTGGTGGAAAAGGAAATATCTTCACACAAAAACCAGATAGAAGCATTCTCAGAAACTACTTTGTGAGGATGGCATTCAACTCATGGAGTTGAACAATCCTATTGATAGAGCAGATTGGAATCACTCTTTTTGTAGAATCTGCAAATGGAGATTTGGACTGCTTTGAGGCCTACGGTCGTATAGGAAGGAACTTCATATAAAAGGCAAACGGAAGCATTCTCAGAATATTCTTTGTGATGATGGAGTTTCACTCACAGAGCTGAACATGCCTTTTGATGGAGCAGTTTCCAAATACACTTTTGGTAGAATCTGCAGGTGGATATTTGGAGCTCTCTGAGGATTTCGTTGGAAACGGGAATAATTTCCCATAACTAAACACAAACACTCTGAGAAAGTTCTTCATGATGAATGCATTTAACTCGCAGAGATGAACCTGCCTTTGAGAGTTCAGGTTCGAAACACTCTTTCTGTAGAATCTGCAAGTGGATATTTGGACCACTGGCTGGCCTTCGTTCGAAACGGGTATATGTTCACGTAAAAACTAAAGAGAAGCATTCTCAGAAACTTCTGAGTGATGATTGCATT
Organism: Homo sapiens; assembly: GCF_000001405.40. Classification (NCBI taxonomy): domain Eukaryota; kingdom Metazoa; phylum Chordata; class Mammalia; order Primates; family Hominidae; genus Homo; species Homo sapiens. The sequence continues at coordinate 58,899,604 of NC_000023.11, forward strand.
CAAGTCACACAGTTGAACCCTCCTTTTGATGGAGCAGTTTTGAAACTGTCTTTTTGTAGAATCTGTAAGTGGATACGTGGACCTCTTTGAAGATTTCTTTGGAAACGGGAATATTTCCACAGAAAAACTAAACTGAAGCATTCTCAGAAACCGCTTTGTGATGTTTGTGTTCGAGCCACAGAGTTTAACATTGCTTTTCATAGAGCAGTTTTGAAATATTCTTTTGGCAGAATCTGCAAGTGGACATTTGGAGCGCTTTCAGGCCTGTGGTGGAAAAGGCCTGAAAGCCTTTTCCTTTATCTTCACAGAAAGACGAGAGAGAAGCATTGTCAGAAACTTCTTTGTGATGATTGCATTCAACTCACAGAGTTGAAGATTCCTTTTGAAACAGCAGTTTCGAAACACTCTTTCTGTGGGATCCGCAAGGGGATATTTGGACCTCTTTGAAGGTTTCGTTGGAAACGGGATAATCTTCACCTAAAAGCTCAACGGAAGCATTCTCAGAAACTTCTTTGGGATGTTTGCATTCACCTCACAGAGTTGAACTTTCCCTTTGATAGCGCAGCTTTGACACACTTTTTCTACAATGTGCAAGTGGCTATTTAGCGGGCTTGGAGGACTGTGTTGGAAAAGGAAATATCTTCTCCTAAAAACGACATAGAAGCATTCTCAGAAACTGCTCTGTGATGATTGCATTCAACTCCCAGAGTTGAACATTCCTTTTGATAGAGCAGTTTGCAAACACTCTTTTTGTAGAATCTGCAAGTGGAGATTTGGACCGCTTTGAGGCCTGTGGTAGTGAAGGAAAGAACTTCATATAAAAACCAGACGGTAGCACTCTCAGAAAATTCTTTGTGACGATGGAGTTTAACTCAGGGAGCTGAACATTCGTTATGATGGAGCAGTTTCCAAACACACGTTTTGTAGAATCTGCAAGGGGATATTTGGACCTCTCTGAGGATTTCGTTGGAAACGGGATCAACTTCCCATAACTGAACGGAAGCAAACTCAGAACATTCTTTGTGATGTTTGTATTCAACTCACAGAGTTGAACCTTCCTTTGATAGTTCAGGTTTGCAACACCCTTGTAGTAGAATCTGCAAGTGTATATTTTGACCACTTTGTAGCCTTCGTTTGAAACGTCTATATCTTCACATCAAACCTAGACAGAAGCATTCTCAGAAAGTTTTCTGCGATGACTGCATTCAACTCACAGAGTTGAACAATCCTTCTGATGGAGCAGTTTTGAAACCCTCTTTCTTTGGAATCTGCAAGGGGATATGTGGACCTCTTTGAAGATTTCACTGGAAACGGGATCATCTTCACATAAAAACTAAACAGAAGCATTCTCAGAAACTATTTTGTGATGTTTGTATTCAACTCCCAGAGTTGAACTTTCCTTTTGAAAGAGCAGCTATGAAACACTCTTTTTCGAGAATCTGCAAGTGGACGTTTGGAGGGCTTTGAGGCCTGTGGTGGAAAAGGAAATATCTTCACACAAAAACCAGATAGAAGCATTCTCAGAAACTACTTTGTGAGGATGGCATTCAACTCATGGAGTTGAACAATCCTATTGATAGAGCAGATTGGAATCACTCTTTTTGTAGAATCTGCAAATGGAGATTTGGACTGCTTTGAGGCCTACGGTAGTACAGGAAGGAACTTCATATAAAAGGCAAACGGAAGCATTCTCAGAATATTCTTTGTGATGATGGAGTTTCACTCACAGAGCTGAACATGCCTTTTGATGGAGCAGTTTCCAAATACACTTTTGGTAGAATCTGCAGGTGGATATTTGGAGCTCTCTGAGGATTTCGTTGGAAACGGGAATAATTTCCCATAACTAAACACAAACACTCTGAGAAAGTTCTTCATGATGAATGCATTTAACTCGCAGAGATGAACCTGCCTTTGAGAGTTCAGGTTCGAAACACTCTTTCTGTATAATCTGCAAGTGGATATTTGGACCACTGGGTGGCCTTCGTTCGAAACGGGTATATGTTCACGTAAAAACTAAAGAGAAGCATTCTCAGAAACTTCTGAGTGATGATTGCATTCAAGTCACACAGTTGAACCCTCCTTTTGATGGAGCAGTTTTGAAACTGTCTTTTTGTAGAATCTGTAAGTGGATGCGTGGACCTCTTTGAAGATTTCTTTGGAAACGGGAATATTTCCACAGAAAAACTAAACTGAAGCATTCTCAGAAACCGCTTTGTGATGTTTGTGTTCGAGCCACAGAGTTTAACATTGCTTTTCATAGAGCAGTTTTGAAATATTCTTTTCGCAGAATCTGCAAGTGGACATTTGGAGCGCTTTCAGGCCTGTGGGTGGAAAAGGCCTGAAAGCCTTTTCCTTTATCTTCACAGAAAGACGAGAGAGAAGCATTGTCAGAAACTTCTTTGTGATGATTGCATTCAACTCACAGAGTTGAAGATTCCTTTTGAAACAGCAGTTTCGAAACACTCTTTCTGTGGGATCCGCAAGGGGATATTTGGACCTCTTTGAAGGTTTCGTTGGAAACGGGATAATCTTCACCTAAAAGCTAAACGGAAGCATTCTCAGAAACTTCTTTGGGATGTTTGCATTCACCTCACAGAGTTGAACTTTCCCTTTGATAGCGCAGCTTTGACACACTTTTTCTACAATGTGCAAGTGGCTATTTAGCGGGCTTGGAGGACTGTGTTGGAAAAGGAAATATCTTCTCCTAAAAACGACATAGAAGCATTCTCAGAAACTGCTCTGTGATGATTGCATTCAACTCCCAGAGTTGAACATTCCTTTTGATAGAGCAGTTTGCAAACACTCTTTTTGTAGAATCTGCAAGTGGAGATTTGGACCGCTTTGAGGCCTGTGGTAGTGAAGGAAAGAACTTCATATAAAAACCAGACGGTAGCACTATCAGAAAATTCTTTGTGACGATGGAGTTTAACTCAGGGAGCTGAACATTCGTTATGATGGAGCAGTTTCCAAACACACGTTTTGTAGAATCTGTGAGGGGATATTTGGACCTCTCTGAGGATTTCGTTGGAAACGGGATCAACTTCCCATAACTGAACGGAAGCAAACTCAGAACATTCTTTGTGATGTTTGTATTCAACTCACAGAGTTGAACCTTCCTTTGATAGTTCAGGTTTGCAACACCCTTGTAGTAGAATCTGCAAGTGTATATTTTGACCACTTTGTAGCCTTCGTTTGAAACGTCTATATCTTCACATCAAACCTAGACAGAAGCATTCTCAGAAAGTTTTCTGGGATGACTGCATTCAACTCACAGAGTTGAACAATCCTTCTGATGGAGCAGTTTTGAAACCCTCTTTCTTTGGAATCTGCAAGGGGATATGTGGACCTCTTTGAAGATTTCACTGGAAACGGGATCATCTTCACATAAAAACTAAACAGAAGCATTCTCGGAAACTATTTTGTGATGTTTGTATTCAACTCCCAGAGTTGAACTTTCCTTTTGAAAGAGCAGCTATGAAACACTCTTTTTCGAGAATCTGCAAGTGGACGTTTGGAGGGCTTTGAGGCCTGTGGTGGAAAAGGAAATATCTTCACACAAAAACCAGATAGAAGCATTCTCAGAAACGACTTTGTGAGGATGGCATTCAACTCATGGAGTTGAACAATCCTATTGATAGAGCAGATTGGAATCACTCTTTTTGTAGAATCTGCAAATGGAGATTTGGACTGCTTTGAGGCCTACGGTCGTATAGGAAGGAACTTCATATAAAAGGCAAACGGAAGCATTCTCAGAATATTCTTTGTGATGATGGAGTTTCACTCACAGAGCTGAACATGCCTTTTGATGGAGCAGTTTCCAAATACACTTTTGGTAGAATCTGCAGGTGGATATTTGGAGCTCTCTGAGGATTTCGTTGGAAACGGGAATAATTTCCCATAACTAAACACAAACACTCTGAGAAAGTTCTTCATGATGAATGCATTTAACTCGCAGAGATGAACCTGCCTTTGAGAGTTCAGGTTCGAAACACTCTTTCTGTAGAATCTGCAAGTGGATATTTGGACCACTGGGTGGCCTTCGTTCGAAACGGGTATATGTTCACGTAAAAACTAAAGAGAAGCATTCTCAGAAACTTCTGAGTGATGATTGCATTCAAGTCACACAGTTGAACCCTCCTTTTGATGGAGCAGTTTTGAAACTGTCTTTTTGTAGAATCTGTAAGTGGATACGTGGACCTCTTTGAAGATTTCTTTGGAAACGGGAATATTTCCACAGAAAAACTAAACTGAAGCATTCTCAGAAACTGCTTTGTGATGTTTGTGTTCGAGCCACAGAGTTTAACATTGCTTTTCATAGAGCAGTTTTGAAATATTCTTTTGGCAGAATCTGCAAGTGGACATTTGGAGCGCTTTCAGGCCTGTGGTGGAAAAGGCCTGAAAGCCTTTTCCTTTATCTTCACAGAAAGACGAGAGAGAAGCATTGTCAGAAACTTCTTTGTGATGATTGCATTCAACTCACAGAGTTGAAGATTCCTTTTGAAACAGCAGTTTCGAAACACTCTTTCTGTGGGATCCACAAGGGGATATTTGGACCTCTTTGAAGGTTTCGTTGGAAACGGGATAATCTTCACCTAAAAGCTAAACGGAAGCATTCTCAGAAACTTCTTTGGGATGTTTGCATTCACCTCACAGAGTTGAACTTTCCCTTTGATAGCGCAGCTTTGACACACTTTTTCTACAATGTGCAAGTGGCTATTTAGCGGGCTTGGAGGACTGTGTTGGAAAAGGAAATATCTTCTCCTAAAAACGACATAGAAGCATTCTCAGAAACTGCTCTGTGATGATTGCATTCAACTCCCAGAGTTGAACATTCCTTTTGATAGAGCAGTTTGCAAACACTCTTTTTGTAGAATCTGCAAGTGGAGATTTGGACCGCTTTGAGGCCTGTGGTAGTGAAGGAAAGAACTTCATATAAAAACCAGACGGTAGCACTCTCAGAAAATTCTTTGTGACGATGGAGTTTAACTCAGGGAGCTGAACATTCGTTATGATGGAGCAGTTTCCAAACACACGTTTTGTAGAATCTGCGAGGGGATATTTGGACCTCTCTGAGGATTTCGTTGGAAACGGGATCAACTTCCCATAACTGAACGGAAGCAAACTCAGAACATTCTTTGTGACGTCTGTATTCAACTCACAGAGTTGAACCTTCCTTTGATAGTTCAGGTTTGCAACACCCTTGTAGTAGAATCTGCAAGTGTATATTTTGACCACTTTGTAGCCTTCGTTTGAAACGTCTATATCTTCACATCAAACCTAGACAGAAGCATTCTCAGAAAGTTTTCTGCCATGACTGCATTCAACTCACAGAGTTGAACAATCCTTCTGATGGAGCAGTTTTGAAACCCTCTTTCTTTGGAATCTGCAAGGGGATATGTGGACCTCTTTGAAGATTTCACTGGAAACGGGATCATCTTCACATAAAAACTAAACAGAAGCATTCTCGGAAACTATTTTGTGATGTTTGTATTCAACTCCCAGAGTTGAACTTTCCTTTTGAAAGAGCAGCTATGAAACACTCTTTTTCGAGAATCTGCAAGTGGACGTTTGGAGGGCTTTGAGGCCTGTGGTGGAAAAGGAAATATCTTCACACAAAAACCAGATAGAAGCATTCTCAGAAACTACTTTGTGAGGATGGCATTCAACTCATGGAGTTGAACAATCCTATTGATAGAGCAGATTGGAATCACTCTTTTTGTAGAATCTGCAAGTGGAGATTTGGACCGCTTTGAGGTCTGTGGTAGTGAAGGAAAGAACTTCATATAAAAACCAGACGGTAGCACTCTCAGAAAATTCTTTGTGACGATGGAGTTTAACTCAGGGAGCTGAACATTCGTTATGATGGAGCAGTTTCCAAACACACGTTTTGTAGAATCTGCAAGGGGATATTTGGACCTCTCTGAGGATTTCGTTGGAAACGGGATCAACTTCCCATAACTGAACGGAAGCAAACTCAGAACATTCTTTGTGATGTTTGTATTCAACTCACAGAGTTGAACCTTCCTTTGATAGTTCAGGTTTGCAACACCCTTGTAGTAGAATCTGCAAGTGTATATTTTGACCACTTTGTAGCCTTCGTTTGAAACGTCTATATCTTCACATCAAACCTAGACAGAAGCATTCTCAGAAAGTTTTCTGCGATGACTGCATTCAACTCACAGAGTTGAACAATCCTTCTGATGGAGCAGTTTTGAAACCCTCTTTCTTTGGAATCTGCAAGGGGATATGTGGACCTCTTTGAAGATTTCACTGGAAACGGGATCATCTTCACATAAAAACTAAACAGAAGCATTCTCGGAAACTACTTTGTGATGTTTGTATTCAACTCCCAGAGTTGAACTTTCCTTTTGAAAGAGCAGCTATGAAACACTCTTTTTCGAGAATCTGCAAGTGGACGTTTGGAGGGCTTTGAGGCCTGTGGTGGAAAAGGAAATATCTTCACATAAAAACTAGATAGAAGCATTCTCAGAAACGACTTTGTGAGGATGGCATTCAACTCATGGAGTTGAACAATCCTATTGATAGAGCAGATTGGAATCACTCTTTTTGTAGAATCTGCAAATGGAGATTTGGACTGCTTTGAGGCCTACGGTCGTATAGGAAGGAACTTCATATAAAAGGCAAACGGAAGCATTCTCAGAATATTCTTTGTGATGATGGAGTTTCACTCACAGAGCTGAACATGCCTTTTGATGGAGCAGTTTCCAAATACACTTTTGGTAGAATCTGCAGGTGGATATTTGGAGCTCTCTGAGGATTTCGTTGGAAACGGGAATAATTTCCCATAACTAAACACAGACACTCTGAGAAAGTTCTTCATGATGAATGCATTTAACTCGCAGAGATGAACCTGCCTTTGAGAGTTCAGGTTTGAAACACTCTTTCTGTAGAATCTGCAAGTGGATATTTGGACCACTGGCTGGCCTTCGTTCGAAACGGGTATATGTTCACGTAAAAACTAAAGAGAAGCATTCTCAGAAACTTCTGAGTGATGATTGCATTCAAGTCACACAGTTGAACCCTCCTTTTGATGGAGCAGTTTTGAAACTGTCTTTTTGTAGAATCTGTAAGTGGATACGTGGACCTCTTTGAAGATTTCTTTGAAAACGGGAATATTTCCACAGAAAAACTAAACTGAAGCATTCTCAGAAACCGCTTTGTGATGTTTGTGTTCGAGCCGCAGAGTTTAACATTGCTTTTCATAGAGCAGTTTTGAAATATTCTTTTGGCAGAATCTGCAAGTGGACATTTGGACCGCTTTCAGGCCTGTGGTGGCAAAGGCCTGAAAGCCTTTTCCTTTATCTTCACAGAAAGACGAGAGAGAAGCATTGTCAGAAACTTCTTTGTGATGATTGCATTCAACTCACAGAGTTGAAGATTCCTTTTGAAACAGCAGTTTCGAAACACTCTTTCTGTGGGATCCGCAAGGGGATATTTGGACCTCTTTGAAGGTTTCGTTGGAAACGGGATAATCTTCACCTAAAAGCTAAACGGAAGCATTCTCAGAAACTTCTTTGGGATGTTTGCATTCACCTCACAGAGTTGAACTTTCCCTTTGATAGCGCAGCTTTGACACACTTTTTCTACAATGTGCAAGTGGCTATTTAGCGGGCTTGGAGGACTGTGTTGGAAAAGGAAATATCTTCTCCTAAAAACGACATAGAAGCATTCTCAGAAACTGCTCTGTGATGATTGCATTCAACTCCCAGAGTTGAACATTCCTTTTGATAGAGCAGTTTGCAAACACTCTTTTTGTAGAATCTGCAAGTGGAGATTTGGACCGCTTTGAGGACTGGGGTAGTAAAGGAAAGAGCTTCATATAAAAAACAGACGGTAGCACTCTCAGAAAATTCTTTGTGACGATGGAGTTTAACTCAGGGAGCTGAACATTCGTTATGATGGAGCAGTTTCCGAACACACGTTTTGTAGAATCTGCAAGGGGATATTTGGACCTCTCTGAGGATTTCGTTGGAAACGGGATCAACTTCCCATAACTGAACGGAAGCAAACTCAGAACATTCTTTGTGATGTTTGTATTCAACTCCCAGAGTTGAAATTTCCTTTTGAAAGAGCAGCTATGAAACACTCTTTTTCGAGAATCTGCAAGTGGACGTTTGGAGGGCTTTGAGGCCTGTGGTGGAAAAGGAAATATCTTCACATAAAAACTAGATAGAAGCATTCTCAGAAACTACTTTGTGAGGATGGCATTCAACTCATGGAGTTGAACAATCCTATTGATAGAGCAGATTGGAATCACTCTTTTTGTAGAATCTGCAAATGGAGATTTGGACTGCTTTGAGGCCTACGGTAGTATAGGAAGGAACTTCATATAAAAGGCAAACGGAAGCATTCTCAGAATATTCTTTGTGATGATGGAGTTTCACTCACAGAGCTGAACATGCCTTTTGATGGAGCAGTTTCCAAATACACTTTTGGTAGAATCTGCAGGTGGATATTTGGAGCTCTCTGAGGATTTCGTTGGAAACGGGAATAATTTCCCATAACTAAACACAAACACGCTGAGAAAGTTCTTCATGATGAATGCATTTAACTCGCAGAGATGAACCTGCCTTTGAGAGTTCAGGTTCAAAACACTCTTTCTGTAGAATCTGCAAGTGGATATTTGGACCACTGGCTGGCCTTCGTTCGAAACGGGTATATGTTCACGTAAAAACTAAAGAGAAGCGTTCTCAGAAACTTCTGAGTGATGAATGCATTCAAGTCACACAGTTGAACCCTCCTTTTGATTGAGCAGTTTTGAAACTGTCTTTTTGTAGAATCTGTAAGTGGATGCGTGGACCTCTTTGAAGATTTCTTTGGAAACGGGAATATTTCCACAGAAAAACTAAACTGAAGCATTCTCAGAAACTGCTTTGTGATGTTTGTGTTCGAGCCGCAGAGTTTAACATTGCTTTTCATAGAGCAGTTTTGAAATATTCTTTTGGCAGAATCTGCAAGTGGACATTTGGAGCGCTTTCAGGCCTGTGGTGGAAATGGCCTGAAAGCCTTTTCCTTTATCTTCACAGAAAGACGAGAGAGAAGCATTGTCAGAAACTTCTTTGTGATGATTGCATTCAACTCACAGAGTTGAAGATTCCTTTTGAAACAGCAGTTTCGAAACACTCTTTCTGTGGGATCCGCAAGGGGATATTTGGACCTCTTTGAAGATTTCGTTGGAAACGGGATAATCTTCACTTAAAGCTAAACGGAAGCATTCTCAGAAACTTCTTTGGGATGTTTGCATTCACCTCACAGAGTTGAACTTTCCCTTTGATAGCGCAGCTTCGACACACTTTTTCTACAATGTGCAAGTGGATATTTAGCGGGCTTGGAGGACTGTGTTGGAAAAGGAAATATCTTCTCCTAAAAACGACATAGAAGCATTCTCAGAAACTGCTCTGTGATGATTGCATTCAACTCCCAGAGTTGAACATTCCTTTTGATAGAGCAATTTGCAAACACTCTTTTTGTAGAATCTGCAAGTGGAGATTTGGACCGCTTTGAGGCCTGTGGTAGTAAAGGAAAGAACTTCATATAAAAAGTAGACGGTAGCACTCTCAGAAAATTCTTTGTGACGATGGAGTTTAACTCAGAGAGCTGAACATTCGTTATGATGGAGCAGTTTCCAAACACACGTTTTGTAGAATCTGCAAGGGGATATTTGGACCTCTCTGAGGATTTCGTTGGAAACGGGATCAACTTCCCATAACTGAACGGAAGCAAACTCAGAACATTCTTTGTGATGTTTGCATTCGTCTCACAGAGTTGAACCTTCCTTTGATAGTTGAGGTTTGCAACACCCTTGTAGTAGAATCTGCAAGTGTATATTTTGACCACTTTGTAGCCTTCGTTTGAAACGTCTATATCTTCACATCAAACCTAGACAGAAGCATTCTCAGAAAGTTTTCTGCGATGACTGCATTCAACTCACAGAGTTGAACAATCGTTTTGATGGAGCAGTTTTGAAACCCTCTTTCTTTGGAATCTGCAAGGGGATATGTGGACCTCTTTGAAGATTTCACTGGAAACGGGATCATCTTCACATAAGAACTAAACAGAAGCATTCTCGGAAACTACTTTGTGATGTTTGTATTCAACTCCCAGAGTTGAACTTTCCTTTTGAAAGAGCAGCTATGAAACACTCTTTTTCGGGAATCTGCAAGTGGACGTTTGGAGGGCTTTGAGGCCTGTGGTGGAAAAGGAAATATCTTCACTTAAAAACTACATAGAAGCATTCTCAGAAACTACTTTGTGAGGATGGCATTCAACTCATGGAGTTGAACAATCCTATTGATAGAGCAGATTGGAATCACTCTTTTTGTAGAATCTGCAAATGGAGATTTGGACTGCTTTGAGGCCTACGGTAGTATAGGAAGGAACTTCATATAAAAGGCAAACGGAAGCATTCTCAGAATATTCTTTGTGATGACGGAGTTTCACTCACAGAGCTGAACATGCCTTTTCATGGAGCAGTTTCCAAATACACTTTTGGTACAATCTGCAGGTGGATATTTGGAGCTCTCTGAGGATTTCGTTGGAAACGGGAATAATTTCCCATAACTAAACACAAACACGCTGAGAAAGTTCTTCATGATGAATGCATTTAACTCGCAGAGATGAACCTGCCTTTGAGAGTTCAGGTTCAAAACACTCTTTCTGTAGAATCTGCAAGTGGATATTTGGACCACTGGCTGGCCTTCGTTCGAAACGGGTATATGTTCACGTAAAAACTAAAGAGAAGCGTTCTCAGAAACTTCTGAGTGATGAATGCATTCAAGTCACACAGTTGAACCCTCCTTTTGATTGAGCAGTTTTGAAACTGTCTTTTTGTAGAATCTGTAAGTGGATGCATGGACCTCTTTGAAGATTTCTTTGGAAACGGGAATATTTCCACAGAAAAACTAAACTGAAGCATTCTCAGAAACTGCTTTGTGATGTTTGTGTTCGAGCCGCAGAGTTTAACATTGCTTTTCATAGAGCAGTTTTGAAATATTCTTTTGGCAGAATCTGCAAGTGGACATTTGGAGCGCTTTCAGGCCTGTGGTGGAAATGGCCTGAAAGCCTTTTCCTTTATCTTCACAGAAAGACGAGAGAGAAGCATTGTCAGAAACTTCTTTGTGATGATTGCATTCAACTCACAGAGTTGAAGATTCCTTTTGAAACAGCAGTTTCGAAACACTCTTTCTGTGGGATCCGCAAGGGGATATTTGGACCTCTTTGAAGATTTCGTTGGAAACGGGATAATCTTCACTTAAAGCAAAACGGAAGCATTCTCAGAAACTTCTTTGGGATGTTTGCATTCACCTCACAGAGTTGAACTTTCCCTTTGATAGCGCAGCTTCGACACACTTTTTCTACAATGTGCAAGTGGATATTTAGCGGGCTTGGAGGACTGTGTTGGAAAAGGAAATATCTTCTCCTAAAAACGACATAGAAGCATTCTCAGATACTGCTCTGTGATGATTGCATTCAACTCCCAGAGTTGAACATTCCTTTTGATAGAGCAGTTTGCAAACACTCTTTTTGTAGAATCTGCAAGTGGAGATTTGGACCGCTTTGAGGCCTGTGGTAGTAAAGGAAAGAACTTCATATAAAAAGTAGACGGTAGCACTCTCAGAAAATTCTTTGTGACGATGGAGTTTAACTCAGAGAGCTGAACATTCGTTATGATGGAGCAGTTTCCAAACACACGTTTTGTAGAATCTGCAAGGGGATATTTGGACCTCTCTGAGGATTTCGTTGGAAACGGGATCAACTTCCCATAACTGAACGGAAGCAAACTCAGAACATTCTTTGTGATGTTTGCATTCGTCTCACAGAGTTGAACCTTCCTTTGATAGTTGAGGTTTGCAACACCCTTGTAGTAGAATCTGCAAGTGTATATTTTGACCACTTTGTAGCCTTCGTTTGAAACGTCTATATCTTCACATCAAACCTAGACAGAAGCATTCTCAGAAAGTTTTCTGCGATGACTGCATTCAACTCACAGAGTTGAACAATCCTTTTGATGGAGCAGTTTTGAAACCCTCTTTCTTTGGAATCTGCAAGGGGATATGTGGACCTCTTTGAAGATTTCACTGGAAACGGGATCATCTTCACATAAGAACTAAACAGAAGCATTCTCGGAAACTACTTTGTGATGTTTGTATTCAACTCCCAGAGTTGAACTTTCCTTTTGAAAGAGCAGCTATGAAACACTCTTTTTCGGGAATCTGCAAGTGGACGTTTGGAGGGCTTTGAGGCCTGTGGTGGAAAAGGAAATATCTTCACTTAAAAACTACATAGAAGCATTCTCAGAAACTACTTTGTGAGGATGGCATTCAACTCATGGAGTTGAACAATCCTATTGATAGAGCAGATTGGAATCACTCTTTTTGTAGAATCTGCAAATGGAGATTTGGACTGCTTTGAGGCCTACGGTAGTATAGGAAGGAACTTCATATAAAAGGCAAACGGAAGCATTCTCAGAATATTCTTTGTGATGACGGAGTTTCACTCACAGAGCTGAACATGCCTTTTCATGGAGCAGTTTCCAAATACACTTTTGGTAGAATCTGCAGGTGGATATTTGGAGCTCTCTGAGGATTTCGTTGGAAACGGGAATAATTTCCCATAACTAAACACAAACACGCTGAGAAAGTTCTTCATGATGAATGCATTTAACTCGCAGAGATGAACCTGCCTTTGAGAGTTCAGGTTCAAAACACTCTTTCTGTAGAATCTGCAAGTGGATATTTGGACCACTGGCTGGCCTTCGTTCGAAACGGGTATATGTTCACGTAAAAACTAAAGAGAAGCGTTCTCAGAAACTTCTGAGTGATGAATGCATTCAAGTCACACAGTTGAACCCTCCTTTTGATTGAGCAGTTTTGAAACTGTCTTTTTGTAGAATCTGTAAGTGGATGCGTGGACCTCTTTGAAGATTTCTTTGGAAACGGGAATATTTCCACAGAAAAACTAAACTGAAGCATTCTCAGAAACTGCTTTGTGATGTTTGTGTTCGAGCCGCAGAGTTTAACATTGCTTTTCATAGAGCAGTTTTGAAATATTCTTTTGGCAGAATCTGCAAGTGGACATTTGGAGCGCTTTCAGGCCTGTGGTGGAAATGGCCTGAAAGCCTTTTCCTTTATCTTCACAGAAAGACGAGAGAGAAGCATTGTCAGAAACTTCTTTGTGATGATTGCATTCAACTCACAGAGTTGAAGATTCCTTTTGAAACAGCAGTTTCGAAACACTCTTTCTGTGGGATCCGCAAGGGGATATTTGGACCTCTTTGAAGATTTCGTTGGAAACGGGATAATCTTCACTTAAAGCTAAACGGAAGCATTCTCAGAAACTTCTTTGGGATGTTTGCATTCACCTCACAGAGTTGAACTTTCCCTTTGATAGCGCAGCTTCGACACACTTTTTCTACAATGTGCAAGTGGATATTTAGCGGGCTTGGAGGACTGTGTTGGAAAAGGAAATATCTTCTCCTAAAAACGACATAGAAGCATTCTCAGAAACTGCTCTGTGATGATTGCATTCAACTCCCAGAGTTGAACATTCCTTTTGATAGAGCAGTTTGCAAACACTCTTTTTGTAGAATCTGCAAGTGGAGATTTGGACCGCTTTGAGGCCTGTGGTAGTAAAGGAAAGAACTTCATATAAAAAGTAGACGGTAGCACTCTCAGAAAATTCTTTGTGACGATGGAGTTTAACTCAGAGAGCTGAACATTCGTTATGATGGAGCAGTTTCCAAACACACGTTTTGTAGAATCTGCAAGGGGATATTTGGACCTCTCTGAGGATTTCGTTGGAAACGGGATCAACTTCCCATAACTGAACGGAAGCAAACTCAGAACATTCTTTGTGATGTTTGCATTCGTCTCACAGAGTTGAACCTTCCTTTGATAGTTGAGGTTTGCAACACCCTTGTAGTAGAATCTGCAAGTGTATATTTTGACCACTTTGTAGCCTTCGTTTGAAACGTCTATATCTTCACATCAAACCTAGACAGAAGCATTCTCAGAAAGTTTTCTGCGATGACTGCATTCAACTCACAGAGTTGAACAATCCTTTTGATGGAGCAGTTTTGAAACCCTCTTTCTTTGGAATCTGCAAGGGGATATGTGGACCTCTTTGAAGATTTCACTGGAAACGGGATCATCTTCACATAAGAACTAAACAGAAGCATTCTCGGAAACTACTTTGTGATGTTTGTATTCAACTCCCAGAGTTGAACTTTCCTTTTGAAAGAGCAGCTATGAAACACTCTTTTTCGAGAATCTGCAAGTGGACGTTTGGAGGGCTTTGAGGCCTGTGGTGGAAAAGGAAATATCTTCACATAAAAACTACATAGAAGCATTCTCAGAAACTACTTTGTGAGGATGGCATTCAACTCACGGAGTTGAACAATCCTATTGATAGAGCAGATTGGAAACACTCTTTTTGTAGAATCTGTAAATGGAGATTTGGACTGCTTTGAGGCCTACGGTAGTATAGGAAGGAACTTCATATAAAAAGCAAACGGAAACACTCTGAGAAAGTTCTTCATGATGAATGCATTTAACTCGCAGAGATGAACCTGCCTTTGAGAGTTCAGGTTCGAAACACTCTTTCTGTAGAATCTGCAAGTGGATATTTGGACCACTGGCTGGCCTTCGTTCGAAACGGGTATATGTTCACGTAAAAACTAAAGAGAAGCATTCTCAGAAACTTCTGAGTGATGATTGCATTCAAGTCACACAGTTGAACCCTCCTTTTGATGGAGCAGTTTTGAAACTGTCTTTTTGTAGAATCTGTAAGTGGATACGTGGACCTCTTTGAAGATTTCTTTGGAAACGGGAATATTTCCACAGAAAAACTAAACTGAAGCATTCTCAGAAACTGCTTTGTGATGTTTGTGTTCGAGCCACAGAGTTTAACATTGCTTTTCATAGAGCAGTTTTGAAATATTCTTTTCGCAGAATCTGCAAGTGGACATTTGGAGCGCTTTCAGGCCTGTGGTGGAAAAGGCCTGAAAGCCTTTTCCTTTATCTTCACAGAAAGACGAGAGAGAAGCATTGTCAGAAACTTCTTTGTGATGATTGCATTCAACTCACAGAGTTGAAGATTCCTTTTGAAACAGCAGTTTCGAAACACTCTTTCTGTGGGATCCGCAAGGGGATATTTGGACCTCTTTGAAGGTTTCGTTGGAAACGGGATAATCTTCACCTAAAAGCTAAACGGAAGCATTCTCAGAAACTTCTTTGGGATGTTTGCATTCACCTCACAGAGTTGAACTTTCCCTTTGATAGCGCAGCTTTGACACACTTTTTCTACAATGTGCAAGTGGCTATTTAGCGGGCTTGGAGGACTGTGTTGGAAAAGGAAATATCTTCTCCTAAAAACGACATAGAAGCATTCTCAGAAACTGCTCTGTGATGATTGCATTCAACTCCCAGAGTTGAACATTCCTTTTGATAGAGCAGTTTGCAAACACTCTTTTTGTAGAATCTGCAAGTGGAGATTTGGACCGCTTTGAGGCCTGTGGTAGTGAAGGAAAGAACTTCATATAAAAACCAGACGGTAGCACTCTCAGAAAATTCTTTGTGACGATGGAGTTTAACTCAGGGAGCTGAACATTCGTTATGATGGAGCAGTTTCCAAACACACGTTTTGTAGAATCTGCGAGGGGATATTTGGACCTCTCTGAGGATTTCGTTGGAAACGGGATCAACTTCCCATAACTGAACGGAAGCAAACTCAGAACATTCTTTGTGATGTTTGTATTCAACTCACAGAGTTGAACCTTCCTTTGATAGTTCAGGTTTGCAACACCCTTGTAGTAGAATCTGCAAGTGTATATTTTGACCACTTTGTAGCCTTCGTTTGAAACGTCTATATCTTCACATCAAACCTAGACAGAAGCATTCTCAGAAAGTTTTCTGCGATGACTGCATTCAACTCACAGAGTTGAACAATCCTTCTGATGGAGCAGTTTTGAAACCCTCTTTCTTTGGAATCTGCAAGGGGATATGTGGACCTCTTTGAAGATTTCACTGGAAACGGGATCATCTTCACATAAAAACTAAACAGAAGCATTCTCGGAAACTACTTTGTGATGTTTGTATTCAACTCCCAGAGTTGAACTTTCCTTTTGAAAGAGCAGCTATGAAACACTCTTTTTCGAGAATCTGCAAGTGGACGTTTGGAGGGCTTTGAGGCCTGTGGTGGAAAAGGAAATATCTTCACATAAAAACTAGATAGAAGCATTCTCAGAAACGACTTTGTGAGGATGGCATTCAACTCATGGAGTTGAACAATCCTATTGATAGAGCAGATTGGAATCACTCTTTTTGTAGAATCTGCAAATGGAGATTTGGACTGCTTTGAGGCCTACGGTCGTATAGGAAGGAACTTCATATAAAAGGCAAACGGAAGCATTCTCAGAATATTCTTTGTGATGATGGAGTTTCACTCACAGAGCTGAACATGCCTGTTGATGGAGCAGTTTCCAAATACACTTTTGGTAGAATCTGCAGGTGGACATTTGGACCTCTCTGAGGATTTCTTTGGGAAAGGGAATAATTTCCCATAACTAAACACAAACACGCTGAGAAAGTTCTTCATGACGAATGCATTTAACTCGCAGAGATGAACCTGCCTTTGAGAGTTCAGGTTCGAAACACTCTTTCTGTAGAATCTGCAAGTGGATATTTGGACCACTGGGTGGCCTTCGTTCGAAACGGGTATATGTTCACGTAAAAACTAAAGAGAAGCATTCTCAGAAACTTCTGAGTGATGATTGCATTCAAGTCACACAGTTGAACCCTCCTTTTGATTGAGCAGTTTTGAAACTGTCTTTTTGTAGAATCTGTAAGTGGATACGTGGACCTCTTTGAAGATTTCTTTGGAAACGGGAATATTTCCACAGAAAAACTAAACTGAAGCATTCTCAGAAACTGTTTTGTGATGTTTGTGTTCGAGCCGCAGAGTTTAACATTGCTTTTCATAGAGCAGTTTTGAAATATTCTTTTGGCAGAATCTGCAAGTGGACATTTGGAGCGCTTTCAGGCCTGTGGTGGAAAAGACCTGAAAGCCTTTTCCTTTATCTTCACAGAAAGACGAGAGAGAAGCATTGTCAGAAACTTCTTTGTGATGATTGCATTCAACTCACAGAGTTGAAGATTCCTTTTGAAACAGCAGTTTCGAAACACTCTTTCTGTGGGATCCGCAAGGGGATATTTGGACCTCTTTGAAGCTTTCGTTGGAAACGGGATAATCTTCACCTAAAAGCTAAACGGAAGCATTCTCAGAAACTTCTTTGGGATGTTTGCATTCACCTCACAGAGTTGAACTTTCCCTTTGATAGCGCAGCTTCGACACACTTTTTCTACAATGTGCAAGTGGATATTTAGCGGGCTTGGAGGACTGTGTTGGAAAAGGAAATATCTTCTCCTAAAAACGACATAGAAGCCTTCTCAGAAACTGCTCTGTGATGATTGCATTCAACTCCCAGAGTTGAACATTCCTTTTGATAGAGCAGTTTGCAGACACTCTTTTTGTAGAATCTGCAAGTGGAGATTTGGACCGCTTTGAGGCCTGTGGTAGTAAAGGAAAGAACTTCATATAAAAACTAGACGGTAGCACTCTCAGAAAATTCTTTGTGACGATGGAGTTTAACTCAGAGAGCTGAACATTCGTTATGATGGAGCAGTTTCCAAACACACGTTTTGTAGAATCTGCAAGGGGATATTTGGACCTCTCTGAGGATTTCGTTGGGAAGGGGATCAACTTCCCATAACTGAACGGAAGCAAACTCAGAACATTCTTTGTGATGTTTGTATTCAACCCACAGAGTTGAACCTTCCTTTGATAGTTCAGGTTTGCAACACCCTTGTAGTAGAATCTGCAAGTGTATATTTTGACCACTTTGTAGCCTTCGTTTGAAACGTCTATATCTTCACATCAAACCTAGACAGAAGCATTCTCAGAAAGTTTTCTGCGATGACTGCATTCAACTCACAGAGTTGAACAATCCTTTTGATGGAGCAGTTTTGAAACCCTCTTTCTTTGGAATCTGCAAGGGGATATGTGGACCTCTTTGAAGATTTCACTGGAAACGGGATCATCTTCACATAAGAACTAAACAGAAGCATTCTCGGAAACTATTTTGTGATGTTTGTATTCAACTCCCAGAGTTGAACTTTCCTTTTGAAAGAGCAGCTATGAAACACTCTTTTTCGAGAATCTGCAAGTGGACGTTTGGAGGGCTTTGAGGCCTGTGGTGGAAAAGGAAATATCTTCACACAAAAACCAGATAGAAGCATTCTCAGAAACTACTTTGTGAGGATGGCATTCAACTCATGGAGTTGAACAATCCTATTGATAGAGCAGATTGGAATCACTCTTTTTGTAGAATCTGCAAATGGAGATTTGGACTGCTTTGAGGACTACGGTAGTACAGGAAGGAACTTCATATAAAAGGCAAACGGAAGCATTCTCAGAATATTCTTTGTGATGATGGAGTTTCACTCACAGAGCTGAACATGCCTTTTGATGGAGCAGTTTCCAAATACACTTTTGGTAGAATCTGCAGGTGGATATTTGGAGCTCTCTGAGGATTTCGTTGGAAACGGGAATAATTTCCCATAACTAAACACAAACACTCTGAGAAAGTTCTTCATGATGAATGCATTTAACTCGCAGAGATGAACCTGCCTTTGAGAGTTCAGGTTCGAAACACTCTTTCTGTATAATCTGCAAGTGGATATTTGGACCACTGGGTGGCCTTCGTTCGAAACGGGTATATGTTCACGTAAAAACTAAAGAGAAGCATTCTCAGAAACTTCTGAGTGATGATTGCATTCAAGTCACACGGTTGAACCCTCCTTTTGATGGAGCAGTTTTGAAACTGTCTTTTTGTAGAATCTGTAAGTGGATACGTGGACCTCTTTGAAGATTTCTTTGGAAACGGGAATATTTCCACAGAAAAACTAAACTGAAGCATTCTCAGAAACTGCTTTGTGATGTTTGTGTTCGAGCCACAGAGTTTAACATTGCTTCTCATAGAGCAGTTTTGAAATATTCTTTTCGCAGAATCTGCAAGTGGACATTTGGAGCGCTTTCAGGCCTGTGGTGGAAAAGGCCTGAAAGCCTTTTCCTTTATCTTCACAGAAAGACGAGAGAGAAGCATTGTCAGAAACTTCTTTGTGATGATTGCATTCAACTCACAGAGTTGAAGATTCCTTTTGAAACAGCAGTTTCGAAACACTCTTTCTGTGGGATCCGCAAGGGGATATTTGGACCTCTTTGAAGATTTCGTTGGAAACGGGATAATCTTCACCTAAAATCTAAACGGAAGCATTCTCAGAAACTTCTTTGGGATGTTTGCATTCACCTCACAGAGTTGTACTTTCCCTTTGATAGCGCAGCTTTGACACACTTTTTCTACAATGTGCAAGTGGATTTTTAGCGGGCTTGGAGGAATGTGGTGGAAAAGGAAATATCTTCTCCTAAAAACCACATAGAAGCATTCTCAGAAACTGCTCTGTGATGATTGCATTCAACTCCCAGAGTTGAACATTCCTTTTGATAGAGCAGTTTGCAAACACTCTTTTTGTAGAATCTGCAAGTGGAGATTTGGACCGCTTTGAGGCCTGTGGTAGTAAAGGAAAGAACTTCCTATAAAAACTAGACGGTAGCACTCTCAGAAAATTCTTTGTGACGATGGAGTTTAACTCAGAGAGCTGAACATTCGTTATGATGGAGCAGTTTCCAAACACACGTTTTGTAGACTCTGCAAGGGGATACTTGGACCTCTCTGCAGATTTCGTTGGAAACGGGATCAACTTCCCATAACTGAACGGAAGCAAACTCAGAACATTCTTTGTGATGTTTGTATTCAACTCACAGGGTTGAACCTTCCTTTGATAGTTCAGGTTGGCAACACCCTTGTAGTAGAATCTGCAAGTGTATATTTTGACCACTTTGTAGCCTTCGTTTGAAAAGTCTATATCTTCACATCAAACCTAGACAGAAGCATTCTCAGAAAGTTTTCTGCGATGACTGCATTCAACTCACAGAGTTGAACAATCCTTTTGATGGAGCAGTTTTGAAACCCTCTTTCTTTGGAATCTGCAAGGGGATATGTGGACCTCTTTGAAGATTTCACTGGAAACGGGATCATCTTCACATAAAAACTAAACAGAAGCATTCTCGGAAACTATTTTGTGATGTTTGTATTCAACTCCCAGAGTTGAACTTTCCTTTTGAAAGAGCAGCTATGAAACACTCTTTTTCTAGAATCTGCAAGTGGACGTTTGGAGGGCTTTGAGGCCTGTGGTGGAAAAGGAAATATCTTCACACAAAAACCAGATAGAAGCATTCTCAGAAACTACTTTGTGAGGATGGCATTCAACTCATGGAGTTGAACAATCCTATTGATAGAGCAGATTGGAATCACTCTTTTTGTAGAATCTGCAAATGGAGATTTGGACTGCTTTGAGGCCTACAGTAGTACAGGAAGGAACTTCATATAAAAGGCAAACGGAAGCATTCTCAGAATATTCTTTGTGATGATGGAGTTTCACTCACAGAGCTGAACATGCCTTTTGATGGAGCAGATTCCAAATACACTTTTGGTAGAATCTGCAGGTGGATATTTGGACCACTCTGAGGATTTCGTTGGAAACGGGAATAATTTCCCATAACTAAACACAAACACTCTGAGAAAGTTCTTCATGATGAATGCATTTAACTCGCAGAGATGAACCTGCCTTTGAGAGTTCAGGTTCGAAACACTCTTTCTGTAGAATCTGCAAGTGGATATTTGGACCACTGGGTGGCGTTCGTTCGAAACGGGTATATGTTCACGTAAAAACTAAAGAGAAGCATTCTCAGAAACTTCTGAGTGATGATTGCATTCAAGTCACACAGTTGAACCCTCCTTTTGATGGAGCAGTTTTGAAACTGTCTTTTTGTAGAATCTGTAAGTGGATACGTGGACCTCTTTGAAGATTTCTTTGGAAACGGGAATATTTCCACAGAAAAACTAAACTGAAGCATTCTCAGAAACTGCTTTGTGATGTTTGTGTTCGAGCCACAGAGTTTAACATTGCTTTTCATAGAGCAGTTTTGAAATATTCTTTTCGCAGAATCTGCAAGTGGACATTTGGAGCGCTTTCAGGCCTGTGGTGGAAAAGGCCTGAAAGCCTTTTCCTTTATCTTCACAGAAAGACGAGAGAGAAGCATTGTCAGAAACTTCTTTGTGATGATTGCATTCAACTCACAGAGTTGAAGATTCCTTTTGAAACAGCAGTTTCGAAACACTCTTTCTGTGGGATCCGCAAGGGGATATTTGGACCTCTTTGAAGGTTTCGTTGGAAACGGGATAATCTTCACCTAAAAGCTAAACGGAAGCATTCTCAGAAACTTCTTTGGGATGTTTGCATTCACCTCACAGAGTTGAACTTTCCCTTTGATAGCGCAGCTTTGACACACTTTTTCTACAATGTGCAAGTGGCTATTTAGCGGACTTGGAGGACTGTGTTGGAAAAGGAAATATCTTCTCCTAAAAACGACATAGAAGCATTCTCAGAAACTGCTCTGTGATGATTGCATTCAACTCCCAGAGTTGAACATTCCTTTTGATAGAGCAGTTTGCAAACACTCTTTTTGTAGAATCTGCAAGTGGAGATTTGGACCGCTTTGAGGCCTGTGGTAGTGAAGGAAAGAACTTCATATAAAAACCAGACGGTAGCACTCTCAGAAAATTCTTTGTGACGATGGAGTTTAACTCAGGGAGCTGAACATTCGTTATGATGGAGCAGTTTCCAAACACACGTTTTGTAGAATCTGCAAGGGGATATTTGGACCTCTCTGAGGATTTCGTTGGAAACGGGATCAACTTCCCATAACTGAACGGAAGCAAACTCAGAACATTCTTTGTGATGTTTGTATTCAACTCACAGAGTTGAACCTTCCTTTGATAGTTCAGGTTTGCAACACCCTTGTAGTAGAATCTGCAAGTGTATATTTTGACCACTTTGTAGCCTTCGTTTGAAATATCTATATCTTCACATCAAACCTAGACAGAAGCATTCTCAGAAAGTTTTCTGCGATGACTGCATTCAACTCACAGAGTTGAACAATCCTTCTGATGGAGCAGTTTTGAAACCCTCTTTCTTTGGAATCTGCAAGGGGATATGTGGACCTCTTTGAAGATTTCACTGGAAACGGGATCATCTTCACATAAAAACTAAACTGAAGCATTCTCGGAAACTATTTTGTGATGTTTGTATTCAACTCCCAGAGTTGAACTTTCCTTTTGAAAGAGCAGCTATGAAACACTCTTTTTCGAGAATCTGCAAGTGGACGTTTGGAGGGCTTTGAGGCCTGTGGTGGAAAAGGAAATATCTTCACACAAAAACCAGATAGAAGCATTCTCAGAAACTACTTTGTGAGGATGGCATTCAACTCATGGAGTTGAACAATCCTATTGATAGAGCAGATTGGAATCACTCTTTTTGTAGAATCTGCAAATGGAGATTTGGACTGCTTTGAGGCCTACGGTAGTACAGGAAGGAACTTCATATAAAAGGCAAACGGAAGCATTCTCAGAATATTCTTTGTGATGATGGAGTTTCACTCACAGAGCTGAACATGCCTTTTGATGGAGCAGTTTCCAAATACACTTTTGGTAGAATCTGCAGGTGGATATTTGGAGCTCTCTGAGGATTTCGTTGGAAACGGGAATAATTTCCCATAACTAAACACAAACACTCTGAGAAAGTTCTTCATGATGAATGCATTTAACTCGCAGAGATGAACCTGCCTTTGAGAGTTCAGGTTCGAAACACTCTTTCTGTATAATCTGCAAGTGGATATTTGGACCACTGGGTGGCCTTCGTTCGAAACGGGTATATGTTCACGTAAAAACTAAAGAGAAGCATTCTCAGAAACTTCTGAGTGATGATTGCATTCAAGTCACACGGTTGAACCCTCCTTTTGATGGAGCAGTTTTGAAACTGTCTTTTTGTAGAATCTGTAAGTGGATACGTGGACCTCTTTGAAGATTTCTTTGGAAACGGGAATATTTCCACAGAAAAACTAAACTGAAGCATTCTCAGAAACCGCTTTGTGATGTTTGTGTTCGAGCCACAGAGTTTAACATTGCTTTTCATAGAGCAGTTTTGAAATATTCTTTTCGCAGAATCTGCAAGTGGACATTTGGAGCGCTTTCAGGCCTGTGGTGGAAAAGGCCTGAAAGCCTTTTCCTTTATCTTCACAGAAAGACGAGAGAGAAGCATTGTCAGAAACTTCTTTGTGATGATTGCATTCAACTCACAGAGTTGAAGATTCCTTTTGAAACAGCAGTTTCGAAACACTCTTTCTGTGGGATCCGCAAGGGGATATTTGGACCTCTTTGAAGGTTTCGTTGGAAACGGGATAATCTTCACCTAAAAGCTAAACGGAAGCATTCTCAGAAACTTCTTTGGGATGTTTGCATTCACCTCACAGAGTTGAACTTTCCCTTTGATAGCGCAGCTTTGACACACTTTTTCTACAATGTGCAAGTGGCTATTTAGCGGGCTTGGGGTACTGTGTTGGAAAAGGAAATATCTTCTCCTAAAAACGACATAGAAGCATTCTCAGAAACTGCTCTGTGATGATTGCATTCAACTCCCAGAGTTGAACATTCCTTTTGATAGAGCAGTTTGCAAACACTCTTTTTGTAGAATCTGCAAGTGGAGATTTGGACCGCTTTCAGGCCTGTGGTAGTGAAGGAAAGAGCTTCATATAAAAACCAGACGGTAGCACTCTCAGAAAATTCTTTGTGACGATGGAGTTTAACTCAGGGAGCTGAACATTCGTTATGATGGAGCAGTTTCCAAACACACGTTTTGTAGAATCTGCAAGGGGATATTTGGACCTCTCTGAGGATTTCGTTGGAAACGGGATCAACTTCCCATAACTGAACGGAAGCAAACTCAGAACATTCTTTGTGATGTTTGTATTCAACTCACAGAGTTGAACCTTCCTTTGATAGTTCAGGTTTGCAACACCCTTGTAGTAGAATCTGCAAGTGTATATTTTGACCACTTTGTAGCCTTCGTTTGAAACGTCTATATCTTCACATCAAACCTAGACAGAAGCATTCTCAGAAAGTTTTCTGCGATGACTGCATTCAACTCACAGAGTTGAACAATCCTTCTGATGGAGCAGTTTTGATACCCTCTTTCTTTGGAATCTGCAAGGGGATATGTGGACCTCTTTGAAGATTTCACTGGAAACGGGATCATCTTCACATAAAAACTAAACAGAAGCATTCTCGGAAACTACTTTGTGATGTTTGTATTCAACTCCCAGAGTTGAACTTTCCTTTTGAAAGAGCAGCTATGAAACACTCTTTTTCGAGAATCTGCAAGTGGACGTTTGGAGGGCTTTGAGGCCTGTGGTGGAAAAGGAAATATCTTCACATAAAAACTAGATAGAAGCATTCTCAGAAACTACTTCGTGAGGATGGCTTTCAACTCATGGAGTTGAACAATCCTATTGATAGAGCAGATTGGAATCACTCTTTTTGTAGAATCTGCAAATGGAGATTTGGACTGCTTTGAGGCCTACGGTCGTATAGGAAGGAACTTCATATAAAAGGCAAACGGAAGCATTCTCAGAATATTCTTTGTGATGATGGAGTTTCACTCACAGAGCTGAACATGCCTTTTGATGGAGCAGTTTCCAACTACACTTTTGGTAGAAACTGCAGGTGGATATTTGGAGCTCTCTGAGGATTTCGTTGGAAACGGGAATAATTTCCCATAACTAAACACAAACACTCTGAGAAAGTTCTTCATGATGAATGCATTTAACTCGCAGAGATGAACCTGCCTTTGAGAGTTCAGGTTCGAAACACTCTTTCTGTAGAATCTGCAAGTGGATATTTGGACCACTGGGTGGCCTTCGTTCAAAACGGGTATATGTTCACGTAAAAACTAAAGAGAAGCATTCTCAGAAACTTCTGAGTGATGATTGCATTCAAGTCACACAGTTGAACCCTCCTTTTGATGGAGCAGTTTTGAAACTGTCTTTTTGTAGAATCTGTAAGTGGATACGTGGACCTCTTTGAAGATTTCTTTGGAAACGGGAATATTTCCACAGAAAAACTAAACTGAAGCATTCTCAGAAACTGCTTTGTGATGTTTGTGTTCGAGCCACAGAGTTTAACATTGCTTTTCATAGAGCAGTTTTGAAATATTCTTTTGGCAGAATCTGCAAGTGGACATTTGGAGCGCTTTCAGGCCTGTGGTTGGGAAAAGGCCTGAAAGCCTTTTCCTTTATCTTCACAGAAAGACGAGAGAGAAGCATTGTCAGAAACTTCTTTGTGATGATTGCATTCAACTCACAGAGTTGAAGATTCCTTTTGAAACAGCAGTTTCGAAACACTCTTTCTGTGGGATCCGCAAGGGGATATTTGGACCTCTTTGAAGGTTTCGTTGGAAACGGGATAATCTTCACCTAAAAGCTAAACGGAAGCATTCTCAGAAACTTCTTTGGGATGTTTGCATTCACCTCACAGAGTTGAACTTTCCCTTTGATAGCGCAGCTTTGACACACTTTTTCTACAATGTGCAAGTGGCTATTTAGCGGGCTTGGAGGACTGTGTTGGAAAAGGAAATATCTTCTCCTAAAAACGACATAGAAGCATTCTCAGAAACTGCTCTGTGATGATTGCATTCAACTCCCAGAGTTGAACATTCCTTTTGATAGAGCAGTTTGCAAACACTCTTTTTGTAGAATCTGCAAGTGGAGATTTGGACCGCTTTGAGGCCTGTGGTAGTGAAGGAAAGAACTTCATATAAAAACCAGACGGTAGCACTCTCAGAAAATTCTTTGTGACGATGGAGTTTAACTCAGGGAGCTGAACATTCGTTATGATGGAGCAGTTTCCAAACACACGTTTTGTAGAATCTGCAAGGGGATATTTGGACCTCTCTGAGGATTTCGTTGGAAACGGGATCAACTTCCCATAACTGAACGGAAGCAAACTCAGAACATTCTTTGTGATGTTTGTATTCAACTCACAGAGTTGAACCTTCCTTTGATAGTTCAGGTTTGCAACACCCTTGTAGTAGAATCTGCAAGTGTATATTTTGACCACTTTGTAGCCTTCGTTTGAAACGTCTATATCTTCACATCAAACCTAGACAGAAGCATTCTCAGAAAGTTTTCTGCGATGACTGCATTCAACTCACAGAGTTGAACAATCCTTCTGATGGAGCAGTTTTGAAACCCTCTTTCTTTGGAATCTGCAAGGGGATATGTGGACCTCTTTGAAGATTTCACTGGAAACGGGATCATCTTCACATAAAAACTAAACAGAAGCATTCTCGGAAACTATTTTGTGATGTTTGTATTCAACTCCCAGAGTTGAACTTTCCTTTTGAAAGAGCAGCTATGAAACACTCTTTTTCGAGAATCTGCAAGTGGACGTTTGGAGGGCTTTGAGGCCTGTGGTGGAAAAGGAAATATCTTCACACAAAAACCAGATAGAAGCATTCTCAGAAACTGCTTTGTGAGGATGGCATTCAACTCATGGAGTTGAACAATCCTATTGATAGAGCAGATTGGAATCACTCTTTTTGTAGAATCTGCAAATGGAGATTTGGACTGCTTTGAGGCCTACAGTAGTACAGGAAGGAACTTCATATAAAAGGCAAACGGAAGCATTCTCAGAATATTCTTTGTGATGATGGAGTTTCACTCACAGAGCTGAACATGCCTTTTGATGGAGCAGTTTCCAAATACACTTTTGGTAGAATCTGCAGGTGGATATTTGGAGCTCTCTGAGGATTTCGTTGGAAACGGGAATAATTTCCCATAACTAAACACAAACACTCTGAGAAAGTTCTTCATGATGAATGCATTTAACTCGCAGAGATGAACCTGCCTTTGAGAGTTCAGGTTCGAAACACTCTTTCTGTAGAATCTGCAAGTGGATATTTGGACCACTGGGTGGCCTTCGTTCGAAACGGGTATATGTTCACGTAAAAACTAAAGAGAAGCATTCTCAGAAACTTCTGAGTGATGATTGCATTCAAGTCACACGGTTGAACCCTCCTTTTGATGGAGCAGTTTTGAAACTGTCTTTTTGTAGAATCTGTAAGTGGATACGTGGACCTCTTTGAAGATTTCTTTGGAAACGGGAATATTTCCACAGAAAAACTAAACTGAAACATTCTCAGAAACCGCTTTGTGATGTTTGTGTTCCAGCCACAGAGTTTAACATTGCTTTTCATAGAGCAGTTTTGAAATATTCTTTTGGCAGAATCTGCAAGTGGACATTTGGAGCGCTTTCAGGCCTGTGGTGGCAAAGGCCTGAAAGCCTTTTCCTTTATCTTCACAGAAAGACGAGAGAGAAGCATTGTCAGAAACTTCTTTGTGATGATTGCATTCAACTCACAGAGTTGAAGATTCCTTTTGAAACAGCAGTTTCGAAACACTCTTTCTGTGGGATCCGCAAGGGGATATTTGGACCTCTTTGAAGGTTTCGTTGGAAACGGGATAATCTTCACCTAAAAGCTAAACGGAAGCATTCTCAGAAACTTCTTTGGGATGTTTGCATTCACCTCACAGAGTTGAACTTTCCCTTTGATAGCGCAGCTTTGACACACTTTTTCTACAATGTGCAAGTGGCTATTTAGCGGGCTTGGAGGACTGTGTTGGAAAAGGAAATATCTTCTCCTAAAAACGACATAGAAGCATTCTCAGAAACTGCTCTGTGATGATTGCATTCAACTCCCAGAGTTGAACATTCCTTTTGATAGAGCAGTTTGCAAACACTCTTTTTGTAGAATCTGCAAGTGGAGATTTGGACCGCTTTGAGGCCTGTGGTAGTGAAGGAAAGAACTTCATATAAAAACCAGACGGTAGCACTCTCAGAAAATTCTTTGTGACGATGGAGTTTAACTCAGGGAGCTGAACATTCGTTATGATGGAGCAGTTTCCAAACACACGTTTTGTAGAATCTGCAAGGGGATATTTGGACCTCTCTGAGGATTTCGTTGGAAACGGGATCAACTTCCCATAACTGAACGGAAGCAAACTCAGAACATTCTTTGTGATGTTTGTATTCAACTCACAGAGTTGAACCTTCCTTTGATAGTTCAGGTTTGCAACACCCTTGTAGTAGAATCTGCAAGTGTATATTTTGACCACTTTGTAGCCTTCGTTTGAAACGTCTATATCTTCACATCAAACCTAGACAGAAGCATTCTCAGAAAGTTTTCTGCGATGACTGCATTCAACTCACAGAGTTGAACAATCCTTCTGATGGAGCAGTTTTGAAACCCTCTTTCTTTGGAATCTGCAAGGGGATATGTGGACCTCTTTGAAGATTTCACTGGAAACGGGATCATCTTCACATAAAAACTAAACAGAAGCATTCTCGGAAACTACTTTGTGATGTTTGTATTCAACTCCCAGAGTTGAACTTTCCTTTTGAAAGAGCAGCTATGAAACACTCCTTTTCGAGAATCTGCAAGTGGACGTTTGGAGGGCTTTGAGGCCTGTGGTGGAAAAGGAAATATCTTCACATAAAAACTAGATAGAAGCATTCTCAGAAACGACTTTGTGAGGATGGCATTCAACTCATGGAGTTGAACAATCCTATTGATAGAGCAGATTGGAATCACTCTTTTTGTAGAATCTGCAAATGGAGATTTGCACTGCTTTGAGGCCTACGGACGTATAGGAAGGAACTTCATATAAAAGGCAAACGGAAGCATTCTCAGAATATTCTTTGTGATGATGGAGTTTCACTCACAGAGCTGAACATGCCTGTTGATGGAGCAGTTTCCAAATACACTTTTGGTAGAATCTGCAGGTGGACATTTGGACCTCTCTGAGGATTTCGTTGGGAACGGGAATAATTTCCCATAACTAAACACAAACACGCTGAGAAAGTTCTTCATGATGAATGCATTTAACTCGCAGAGATGAACCTGCCTTTGAGAGTTCAGGTTCGAAACACTCTTTCTGTAGAATCTGCAAGTGGACATTTGGACCACTGGGTGGCCTTCGTTCGAAACGGGTATATGTTCACGTAAAAACTAAAGAGAAGCATTCTCAGAAACTTCTGAGTGATGATTGCATTCAAGTCACACAGTTGAACCCTCCTTTTGATTGAGCAGTTTTGAAACTGTCTTTTTGTAGAATCTGTAAGTGGATACGTGGACCTCTTTGAAGATTTCTTTGGAAACGGGAATATTTCCACAGAAAAACTAAACTGAAGCATTCTCAGAGACCGCTTTGTGATGTTTGTGTTCGAGCCACAGAGTTTAACATTGCTTTTCATAGAGCAGTTTTGAAATATTCTTTTGGCAGAATCTGCAAGTGGACATTTGGAGCGCTTTCAGGCCTGTGGTGGCAAAGGCCTGAACGCCTTTTCCTTTATGTTCACAGAAAGACGAGAGAGAAGCATTGTCAGAAACTTCTTTGTGATGATTGCATTCAACTCACAGAGTTGAAGATTCCTTTTGAAACAGCAGTTTCGAAACACTCTTTCTGTGGGATCCGCAAGGGGATATTTGGACCTCTTTGAAGCTTTCGTTGGAAACGGGATAATCTTCACCTAAAAGCTAAACGGAAGCATTCTCAGAAACTTCTTTGGGATGTTTGCATTCACCTCACAGAGTTGAACTTTCCCTTTGATAGCGCAGCTTTGACACACTTTTTCTACAATGTGCAAGTGGCTATTTAGCGGGCTTGGAGGACTGTGTTGGAAAAGGAAATATCTTCTCCTAAAAACGACATAGAAGCATTCTCAGAAACTGCTCTGTGATGATTGCATTCAACTCCCAGAGTTGAACATTCCTTTTGATAGAGCAGTTTGCAAACACTCTTTTTGTAGAATCTGCAAGTGGAGATTTGGACCGCTTTGAGGCCTGTGGTAGTGAAGGAAAGAACTTCATATAAAAACCAGACGGTAGCACTCTCAGAAAATTCTTTGTGACGATGGAGTTTAACTCAGGGAGCTGAACATTCGTTATGATGGAGCAGTTTCCAAACACACGTTTTGTAGAATCTGCAAGGGGATATTTGGACCTCTCTGAGGATTTCGTTGGAAACGGGATCAACTTCCCATAACTGAACGGAAGCAAACTCAGAACATTCTTTGTGATGTTTGTATTCAATTCACAGAGTTGAACCTTCCTTTGATAGTTCAGGTTTGCAACACCCTTGTAGTAGAATCTGCAAGTGTATATTTTGACCACTTTGTAGCCTTCGTTTGAAACGTCTATATCTTCACATCAAACCTAGACAGAAGCATTCTCAGAAAGTTTTCTGCGATGACTGCATTCAACTCACAGAGTTGAACAATCCTTCTGATGGAGCAGTTTTGAAACCCTCTTTCTTTGGAATCTGCAAGGGGATATGTGGACCTCTTTGAAGATTTCACTGGAAACGGGATCATCTTCACATAAAAACTAAACAGAAGCATTCTCGGAAACTATTTTGTGATGTTTGTATTCAACTCCCAGAGTTGAACTTTCCTTTTGAAAGAGCAGCTATGAAACACTCTTTTTCGAGAATCTGCAAGTGGACGTTTGGAGGGCTTTGAGGCCTGTGGTGGAAAAGGAAATATCTTCACACAAAAACCAGATAGAAGCATTCTCAGAAACGACTTTGTGAGGATGGCATTCAACTCATGGAGTTGAACAATCCTATTGATAGAGCAGATTGGAATCACTCTTTTTGTAGAATCTGCAAATGGAGATTTGGACTGCTTTGAGGCCTACGGTAGTACAGGAAGGAACTTCATATAAAAGGCAAACGGAAGCATTCTCAGAATATTCTTTGTGATGATGGAGTTTCACTCACAGAGCTGAACATGCCTTTTGATGGAGCAGTTTCCAAATACACTTTTGGTAGAATCTGCAGGTGGATATTTGGAGCTCTCTGAGGATTTCGTTGGAAACGGGAATAATTTCCCATAACTAAACACAAACACTCTGAGAAAGTTCTTCATGATGAATGCATTTAACTCGCAGAGATGAACCTGCCTTTGAGAGTTCAGGTTCGAAACACTCTTTCTGTAGAATCTGCAAGTGGATATTTGGACCACTGGGTGGCCTTCGTTCGAAACGGGTATATGTTCACGTAAAAACTAAAGAGAAGCATTCTCAGAAACTTCTGAGTGATGATTGCATTCAAGTCACACAGTTGAACCCTCCTTTTGATGGAGCAGTTTTGAAACTGTCTTTTTGTAGAATCTGTAAGTGGATACGTGGACCTCTTTGAAGATTTCTTTGGAAACGGGAATATTTCCACAGAAAAACTAAACTGAAGCATTCTCAGAAACCGCTTTGTGATGTTTGTGTTCGAGCCACAGAGTTTAACATTGCTTTTCATAGAGCAGTTTTGAAATATTCTTTTGGCAGAATCTGCAAGTGGACATTTGGAGCGCTTTCAGGCCTGTGGTGGCAAAGGCCTGAACGCCTTTTCCTTTATGTTCACAGAAAGACGAGAGAGAAGCATTGTCAGAAACTTCTTTGTGATGATTGCATTCAACTCACAGAGTTGAAGATTCCTTTTGAAACAGCAGTTTCTAAACACTCTTTCTGTGGGATCCGCAAGGGGATATTTGGACCTCTTTGAAGGTTTCGTTGGAAACGGGATAATCTTCACCTAAAAGCTAAACGGAAGCATTCTCAGAAACTTCTTTGGGATGTTTGCATTCACCTCACAGAGTTGAACTTTCCCTTTGATAGCGCAGCTTCGACACACTTTTTCTACAATGTGCAAGTGGCTATTAAGCGGGCTTGGAAGACTGTGTTGGAAAAGGAAATATCTTCTCCTAAAAACGACATAGAAGCATTCTCAGAAACTGCTCTGTGATGATTGCATTCAATTCCCAGAGTTGAACATTCCTTTTGATAGAGCAGTTTGCAGACACTCTTTTTGTAGAATCTGCAAGTGGAGATTTGGACCGCTTTGAGGCCTGTGGTAGTAAAGGAAAGAACTTCATATAAAAACTAGACGGTAGCACTCTCAGAAAATTCTTTGTGACGATGGAGTTTAACTCAGGGAGCTGAACATTCGTTATGATGGAGCAGTTTCCAAACACACGTTTTGAAGAATCTGCAAGGGGATATTTGGACCTCTCTGAGGATTTCGTTGTAAACGGGATCAACTTCCCATAACTGAACGGAAGCAAACTCAGAACATTCTTTGCGATGTTTGTATTCAACCCACAGAGTTGAACCTTCCTTTGATAGTTCAGGTTTGCAACACCCTTGTAGTAGAATCTGTAAGTGTATATTTTGACCACTTTGTAGCCTTCGTTTTAAACGTCTATAACTTCACATCAAACCTAGACAGAAGCATTCTCAGAAAGTTTTCTGCGATGACTGCATTCAACTCACAGAGTTGAACAATCCTTTTGATGGAGCAGTTTTGAAACCCTCTTTCTTTGGAATCTGCAAGGGGATATGTGGACCTCTTTGAAGATTTCACTGGAAACGGGATCATCTTCACATAAGAACTAAACAGAAGCATTCTCGGAAACTACTTTGTGATGTTTGTATTCAACTCCCAGAGTTGAACTTTCCTTTTGAAAGAGCAGCTATGAAACACTCTTTTTCGAGAATCTGCAAGTGGACGTTTGGAGGGCTTTGAGGCCTGTGGTGGAAAAGGAAATATCTTCACATAAAAACTAGATAGAAGCATTCTCAGAAACGACTTTGTGAGGATGGCATTCAACTCATGGAGTTGAACAATCCTATTGATAGAGCAGATTGGAATCACTCTTTTTGTAGAATCTGCAAATGGAGATTTGGACTGCTTTGAGGCCTACGGTAGTATAGGAAGGAACTTCATATAAAAGGCAAACGGAAGCATTCTCAGAATATTCTTTGTGATGATGGAGTTTCACTCACAGAGCTGAACATGCCTTTTGATGGAGCAGTTTCCAAATACACTTTTGGTAGAATCTGCAGGTGGATATTTGGACCTCTCTGAGGATTTCGTTGGAAACGGCAATAATTTCCCATAACTAAACACAAACACGCTGAGAAAGTTCTTCATGATGAATGCATTGAACTCGCAGAGATGAACCTGCCTTTGAGAGTTCAGGTTCGAAACACTCTTTCTGTAGAATCTGCAAGTGGATATTTGGACCACTGGGTGGCCTTCGTTCGAAACGGGTATATGTTCACGTAAAAACTAAAGAGAAGCGTTCTCAGAAACTTCTGCGTGATGATTGCATTCAAGTCACACGGTTGAACCCTCCTTTTGATTGAGCAGTTTTGAAACTGTCTTTTTGTAGAATCTGTAAGTGGATACGTGGACCTCTTTGAAGATTTCTTTCGAAACGGGAATATTTCCACAGAAAAACTAAACTGAAGCTTTCTCAGAAACTGCTTTGTGATGTTTGTGTTCGAGCCGCAGAGTTTAACATTGCTTTTCATAGAGCAGTTTTGAAATATTCTTTTGGCAGAATCTGCAAGTGGACATTTGGAGCGCTTTCAGGCCTGTGGTGGAAAAGGCCTGAAAGCCTTTTCCTTTATCTTCACAGAAAGACGAGAGAGAAGCATTGTCAGAAACTTCTTTGTGATGATTGCATTCAACTCACAGAGTTGAAGATTCCTTTTGAAACAGCAGTTTCGAAACACTCTTTCTGTGGGATCCGCAAGGGGATATTTGGACCTCTTTGAAGATTTCGTTGGAAACGGGATAATCTTCACCTAAAAGCTAAACGGAAGCATTCTCAGAAACTTCTTTGGGATGTTTGCATTCACCTCACAGAGTTGAACTTTCCCTTTGATAGCGCAGCTTCGACACACTTTTTCTACAATGTGCAAGTGGATATTTAGCGGGCTTGGAGGACTGTGTTGGAAAAGGAAATATCTTCTCCTAAAAACGACATAGAAGCATTCTCAGAAACTGCTCTGTGATGATTGCTTTCAACTCCCAGAGTTGAACATTCCTTTTGATAGAGCAGTTTGCAAACACTCTTTTTGTAGAATCTGCAAGTGGAGATTTGGACCGCTTTGAGGCCTGTGGTAGTAAAGGAAAGAACTTCATATAAAAACTAGACGGTAGCACTCTCAGAAAATTCTTTGTGACGATGGAGTTTAACTCAGAGAGCTGAACATTCGTTATGATGGAGCAGTTTCCAAACACACGTTTTGTAGAATCTGCAAGGGGATATTTGGACCTCTCTGAGGATTTCGTTGGAAACGGTATCAATTTCCCATAACTGAACGGAAGCAAACTCAGAACATTTTTTGTGATGGTTGCATTCATCTCACAGAGTTGAACCTTCCTTTGATAGTTGAGGTTTGCATCACCCTTGTAGTAGAATCTGCAAGTGTATATTTTGACCACTTTGTAGCCTTCGTTTGAAACGTCTATATCTTCACATCAAACCTAGACAGAAGCATTCTCAGAAAGTTTTCTGCGATGACTGCATTCAACTCACAGAGTTGAACAATCCTTTTGATGGAGCAGTTTTGAAACCCTCTTTCTTTGGAATCTGCAAGGGGATATGTGGACCTCTTTGAAGATTTCACTGGAAACGGGATCATCTTCACATAAGAACTAAACAGAAGCATTCTCGGAAACTACTTTGTGATGTTTGTATTCAACTCCCAGAGTTGAACTTTCCTTTTGAAAGAGCAGCTATGAAACACTCTTTTTCGAGAATCTGCAAGTGGACGTTTGGAGGGCTTTGAGGCCTGTGGTGGAAAAGGAAATATCTTCACATAAAAACTAGATAGAAGCATTCTCAGAAACGACTTTGTGAGGATGGCATTCAACTCATGGAGTTGAACAATCCTATTGATAGAGCAGATTGGAATCACTCTTTTTGTAGAATCTGCAAATGGAGATTTGGACTGCTTTGAGGCCTACGGTAGTATAGGAAGGAACTTCATATAAAAGGCAAACGGAAGCATTCTCAGAATATTCTTTGTGATGATGGAGTTTCACTCACAGAGCTGAACATGCCTTTTGATGGAGCAGTTTCCAAATACACTTTTGGTAGAATCTGCAGGTGGATATTTGGACCTCTCGGAGGATTTCGTTGGAAACGGGAATAATTTCCCATAACTAAACACAAACACTCTGAGAAAGTTCTTCATGATGAATGCATTTAACTCGCAGAGATGAACCTGCCTTTGAGAGTTAAGGTTCGAAACACTCTTTCTGTAGAATCTGCAAGTGGATATTTGGACCACTGGGTGGCCTTCGTTCGAAACGGGTATATGTTCACGTAAAAACTAAAGAGAAGCATTCTCAGAAACTTCTGAGTGATGATTGCATTCAAGTCACACAGTTGAACCCGCCTTTTGTTTGAGCAGTTTTGAAACTGTCTTTTTGTAGAATCTGTAAGTGGATACGTGGACCTCTTTGAAGATTTCTTTGGAAAGGGGAATATTTCCACAGAAAAACTAAACTGAAGCATTCTCAGAAACTGCGTTGTGATGTTGGTGTTCGAGCCGCAGAGTTTAACATTGCTTTTCATAGAGCAGTTTTGAAATATTCTTTTGGCAGAATCTGCAAGTGGACATTTGGAGCGCTTTCAGGCCTGTGGTGGAAAAGGCCTGAAAGCCTTTTCCTTTATCTTCACAGAAAGACGAGAGAGAAGAATTGTCAGAAACTTCTTTGTGATGATTGCATTCAACTCACAGAGTTGAAGATTCCTTTTGAAACAGCAGTTTCGAAACACTCTTTCTGTGGGATCCGCAAGGGGATATTTGGACCTCTTTGAAGATTTCGTTGGAAACGGGATAATCTTCACCTAAAAGCTAAACGGAAGCATTCTCAGAAACTTCTTTGGGATGTTTGCATTCACCTCACAGAGTTGAACTTTCCCTTTGATAGCGCAGCTTCGACCCACTTTTTCTACAATGTGCAAGTGGATATTTAGCGGGCTTGGAGGACTGTGTTGGAAAAGGAAATATCTTCTCCTAAAAACAACATAGAAGCATTCTCAGGAACTGCTCTGTGATGATTGCATTCAACTCCCATAGTTGAACATTCCTTTTGATAGAGCAGTTTGCAAACACTCTTTTTGTAGAATCTGCAAGTGGAGATTTGGACCGCTTTGAGGCCTGTGGTAGTAAAGGAAAGAACTTCATATAAAAACTAGACGGTAGCACTCTCAGAAAAAACTTTGTGACGATGGAGTTTAACTCAGAGAGCTGAACATTCGTTATGATGGAGCAGTTCCCAAACACACGTTTTGCAGAATCTGCAAGGGGATATTTGGACCTCTCTGAGGATTTCGTTGGAAACGGGATCAACTTCCCATAACTGAACGGAAGCAAACTCAGAACATTCTTTGTGATGTTTGTATTCAACTCACAGAGTTGAACCTTCCTTTGATAGTTCAGGTTTGCAACACCCTTGTAGTAGAATCTGCAAGTGTATATTTTGACCACTTTGTAGCCTTCGTTTGAAACGTCTATATCTTCACATCAAACCTAGAAAGAAGCATTCTCAGAAAGTTTTCTGCGATGACTGCATTCAACTCACAGAGTTGAACAATCCTTTTGATGGAGCAGTTTTGAAACCCTCTTTCTTTGGAATCTGCAAGGGGATATGTGGACCTCTTTGAAGATTTCACTGGAAACGGGATCATCTTCACATAAAAACTAAACAGAAGCATTCTCGGAAACTATTTTGTGATGTTTGTATTCAACTCCCAGAGTTGAACTTTCCTTTTGAAAGAGCAGCTATGAAACACTCTTTTTCGAGAATCTGCAAGTGGACGTTTGGAGGGCTTTGAGGCCTGTGGTGGAAAAGGAAATATCTTCACACAAAAACCAGATAGAAGCATTCTCAGAAACTACTTTGTGAGGATGGCATTCAACTCATGGAGTTGAACAATCCTATTGATAGAGCAGATTGGAATCACTCTTTTTGTAGAATCTGCAAATGGAGATTTGGACTGCTTTGAGGCCTACAGTAGTACAGGAAGGAACTTCATATAAAAGGCAAACGGAAGCATTCTCAGAATATTCTTTGTGATGATGGAGTTTCACTCACAGAGCTGAACATGCCTTTTGATGGAGCAGTTTCCAAATACACTTTTGGTAGAATCTGCAGGTGGATATTTGGAGCTCTCTGAGGATTTCGTTGGAAACGGGAATAATTTCCCATAACTAAACACAAACACTCTGAGAAAGTTCTTCATGATGAATGCATTTAACTCGCAGAGATGAACCTGCCTTTGAGAGTTCAGGTTCGAAACACTCTTTCTGTATAATCTGCAAGTGGATATTTGGACCACTGGGTGGCCTTCGTTCGAAACGGGTATATGTTCACGTAAAAACTAAAGAGAAGCATTCTCAGAAACTTCTGAGTGATGATTGCATTCAAGTCACACAGTTGAACCCTCCTTTTGATGGAGCAGTTTTGAAACTGTCTTTTTGTAGAATCTGTAAGTGGATACGTGGACCTCTTTGAAGATTTCTTTGGAAACGGGAATATTTCCACAGAAAAACTAAACTGAAACATTCTCAGAAACCGCTTTGTGATGTTTGTGTTCCAGCCACAGAGTTTAACATTGCTTTTCATAGAGCAGTTTTGAAATATTCTTTTGGCAGAATCTGCAAGTGGACATTTGGAGCGCTTTCAGGCCTGTGGTGGAAAAGGCCTGAAAGCCTTTTCCTTTATCTTCACAGAAAGACGAGAGAGAAGCATTGTCAGAAACTTCTTTGTGATGATTGCATTCAACTCACAGAGTTGAAGATTCCTTTTGAAACAGCAGTTTCGAAACACTCTTTCTGTGGGATCCGCAAGGGGATATTTGGACCTCTTTGAAGGTTTCGTTGGAAACGGGATAATCTTCACCTAAAAGCTAAACGGAAGCATTCTCAGAAACTTCTTTGGGATGTTTGCATTCACCTCACAGAGTTGAACTTTCCCTTTGATAGCGCAGCTTTGACACACGTTTTCTACAATGTGCAAGTGGCTATTTAGCGGGCTTGGAGGACTGTGTTGGAAAAGGAAATATCTTCTCCTAAAAACGACATAGAAGCATTCTCAGAAACTGCTCTGTGATGATTGCATTCAACTCCCAGAGTTGAACATTCCTTTTGATAGAGCAGTTTGCAAACACTCTTTTTGTAGAATCTGCAAGTGGAGATTTGGACCGCTTTGAGGCCTGTGGTAGTGAAGGAAAGAGCTTCATATAAAAACCAGACGGTAGCACTCTCAGAAAATTCTTTGTGACGATGGAGTTTAACTCAGGGAGCTGAACATTCGTTATGATGGAGCAGTTTCCAAACACACGTTTTGTAGAATCTGCAAGGGGATATTTGGACCTCTCTGAGGATTTGGTTGGAAACGGGATCAACTTCCCATAACTGAACGGAAGCAAACTCAGAACATTCTTTGTGATGTTTGTATTCAACTCACAGAGTTGAACCTTCCTTTGATAGTTCAGGTTTGCAACACCCTTGTAGTAGAATCTGCAAGTGTATATTTTGACCACTTTGTAGCCTTCGTTTGAAACGTCTATATCTTCACATCAAACCTAGACAGAAGCATTCTCAGAAAGTTTTCTGCGATGACTGCATTCAACTCACAGAGTTGAACAATCCTTCTGATGGAGCAGTTTTGAAACCCTCTTTCTTTGGAATCTGCAAGGGGATATGTGGACCTCTTTGAAGATTTCACTGGAAACGGGATCATCTTCACATAAAAACTAAACAGAAGCATTCTCGGAAACTACTTTGTGATGTTTGTATTCAACTCCCAGAGTTGAACTTTCCTTTTGAAAGAGCAGCTATGAAACACTCTTTTTCGAGAATCTGCAAGTGGACGTTTGGAGGGCTTTGAGGCCTGTGGTGGAAAAGGAAATATCTTCACACAAAAACCAGATAGAAGCATTCTCAGAAACTACTTTGTGAGGATGGCATTCAACTCATGGAGTTGAACAATCCTATTGATAGAGCAGATTGGAATCACTCTTTTTATAGAATCTGCAAATGGAGATTTGGACTGCTTTGAGGCCTACGGTAGTACAGGAAGGAACTTCATATAAAAGGCAAACGGAAGCATTCTCAGAATATTCTTTGTGATGATGGAGTTTCACTCACAGAGCTGAACATGCCTTTTGATGGAGCCGTTTCCAAATACACTTTTGGTAGAATCTGCAGGTGGATATTTGGAGCTCTCTGAGGATTTCGTTGGAAACGGGAATAATTTCCCATAACTAAACACAAACACTCTGAGAAAGTTCTTCATGATGAATGCATTTAACTCGCAGAGATGAACCTGCCTTTGAGAGTTCAGGTTCGAAACACTCTTTCTGTATAATCTGCAAGTGGATATTTGGACCACTGGGTGGCCTTCGTTCGAAACGGGTATATGTTCACGTAAAAACTAAAGAGAAGCATTCTCAGAAACTTCTGAGTGATGATTGCATTCAAGTCACACGGTTGAACCCTCCTTTTGATGGAGCAGTTTTGAAACTGTCTTTTTGTAGAATCTGTAAGTGGATACGTGGACCTCTTTGAAGATTTCTTTGGAAACGGGAATATTTCCACAGAAAAACTAAACTGAAGCATTCTCAGAAACCGCTTTGTGATGTTTGTGTTCGAGCCACAGAGTTTAACATTGCTTTTCATAGAGCAGTTTTGAAATATTCTTTTCGCAGAATCTGCAAGTGGACATTTGGAGCGCTTTCAGGCCTGTGGTGGAAAAGGCCTGAAAGCCTTTTCCTTTATCTTCACAGAAAGACGAGAGAGAAGCATTGTCAGAAACTTCTTTGTGATGATTGCATTCAACTCACAGAGTTGAAGATTCCTTTTGAAACAGCAGTTTCGAAACACTCTTTCTGTGGGATCCGCAAGGGGATATTTGGACCTCTTTGAAGGTTTCGTTGGAAACGGGATAATCTTCACCTAAAAGCTAAACGGAAGCATTCTCAGAAACTTCTTTGGGATGTTTGCATTCACCTCACAGAGTTGAACTTTCCCTTTGATAGCGCAGCTTTGACACACTTTTTCTACAATGTGCAAGTGGCTATTTAGCGGGCTTGGAGGACTGTGTTGGAAAAGGAAATATCTTCTCCTAAAAACGACATAGAAGCATTCTCAGAAACTGCTCTGTGATGATTGCATTCAACTCCCAGAGTTGAACATTCCTTTTGATAGAGCAGTTTGCAAACACTCTTTTTGTAGAATCTGCAAGTGGAGATTTGGACCGCTTTGAGGCCTGTGGTAGTGAAGGAAAGAACTTCATATAAAAACCAGACGGTAGCACTCTCAGAAAATTCTTTGTGACGATGGAGTTTAACTCAGGGAGCTGAACATTCGTTATGATGGAGCAGTTTCCAAACACACGTTTTGTAGAATCTGCGAGGGGATATTTGGACCTCTCTGAGGATTTCGTTGGAAACGGGATCAACTTCCCATAACTGAACGGAAGCAAACTCAGAACATTCTTTGTGATGTTTGTATTCAATTCACAGAGTTGAACCTTCCTTTGATAGTTCAGGTTTGCAACACCCTTGTAGTAGAATCTGCAAGTGTATATTTTGACCACTTTGTAGCCTTCGTTTGAAACGTCTATATCTTCACATCAAACCTAGACAGAAGCATTCTCAGAAAGTTTTCTGCGATGACTGCATTCAACTCACAGAGTTGAACAATCCTTCTGATGGAGCAGTTTTGAAACCCTCTTTCTTTGGAATCTGCAAGGGGATATGTGGACCTCTTTGAAGATTTCACTGGAAACGGGATCATCTTCACATAAAAACTAAACAGAAGCATTCTCGGAAACTACTTTGTGATGTTTGTATTCAACTCCCAGAGTTGAACTTTCCTTTTGAAAGAGCAGCTATGAAACACTCTTTTTCGAGAATCTGCAAGTGGACGTTTGGAGGGCTTTGAGGCCTGTGGTGGAAAAGGAAATATCTTCACATAAAAACTAGATAGAAGCATTCTCAGAAACTACTTTGTGAGGATGGCATTCAACTCATGGAGTTGAACAATCCTATTGATAGAGCAGATTGGAATCACTCTTTTTGTAGAATCTGCAAATGGAGATTTGGACTGCTTTGAGGCCTACGGTAGTATAGGAAGGAACTTCATATAAAAGGCAAACGGAAGCATTCTCAGAATATTCTTTGTGATGATGGAGTTTCACTGACAGAGCTGAACATGCCTTTTGATGGAGCAGTTTCCAAATACACTTTTGGTAGAATCTGCAGGTGGATATTTGGAGCTCTCTGAGGATTTCGTTGGAAAAGGGAATAATTTCCCATAACTAAACACAAACACTCTGAGAAAGTTCTTCATGATGAATGCATTTAACTCGCAGAGATGAACCTGCCTTTGAGAGTTCAGGTTCGAAACACTCTTTCTGTAGAATCTGCAAGTGGATATTTGGACCACTGGCTGGCCTTCGTTCGAAACGGGTATATGTTCACGTAAAAACTAAAGAGAAGCATTCTCAGAAACTTCTGAGTGATGATTGCATTCAAGTCACACAGTTGAACCCTCCTTTTGATGGAGCAGTTTTGAAACTGTCTTTTTGTAGAATCTGTAAGTGGATACGTGGACCTCTTTGAAGATTTCTTTGGAAACGGGAATATTTCCACAGAAAAACTAAACTGAAGCATTCTCAGAAACCGCTTTGTGATGTTTGTGTTCGAGCCACAGAGTTTAACATTGCTTTTCATAGAGCAGTTTTGAAATATTCTTTTGGCAGAATCTGCAAGTGGACATTTGGAGCGCTTTCAGGCCTGTGGTGGAAAAGGCCTGAAAGCCTTTTCCTTTACCTTCACAGAAAGACGAGAGAGAAGCATTGTCAGAAACTTCTTTGTGATGATTGCATTCAACTCACAGAGTTGAAGATTCCTTTTGAAACAGCAGTTTCGAAACACTCTTTCTGTGGGATCCGCAAGGGGATATTTGGACCTCTTTGAAGGTTTCGTTGGAAACGGGATAATCTTCACCTAAAAGCTAAACGGAAGCATTCTCAGAAACTTCTTTGGGATGTTTGCATTCACCTCACAGAGTTGAACTTTCCCTTTGATAGCGCAGCTTTGACACACTTTTTCTACAATGTGCAAGTGGCTATTTAGCGGGCTTGGAGGACTGTGTTGGAAAAGGAAATATCTTCTCCTAAAAACGACATAGAAGCATTCTCAGAAACTGCTCTGTGATGATTGCATTCAACTCCCAGAGTTGAACATTCCTTTTGATAGAGCAGTTGGCAAACACTCTTTTTGTAGAATCTGCAAGTGGAGATTTGGACCGCTTTGAGGTCTGTGGTAGTGAAGGAAAGAGCTTCATATAAAAACCAGACGGTAGCACTCTCAGAAAATTCTTTGTGACGATGGAGTTTAACTCAGGGAGCTGAACATTCGTTATGATGGAGCAGTTTCCAAACACACGTTTTGTAGAATCTGCAAGGGGATATTTGGACCTCTCTGAGGATTTCGTTGGAAACGGGATCAACTTCCCATAACTGAACGGAAGGCAAACTCAGAACATTCTTTGTGATGTTTGTATTCAACTCACAGAGTTGAACCTTCCTTTGATAGTTCAGGTTTGCAACACCCTTGTAGTAGAATCTGCAAGTGTATATTTTGACCACTTTGTAGCCTTCGTTTGAAACGTCTATATCTTCACATCAAACCTAGACAGAAGCATTCTCAGAAAGTTTTCTGCGATGACTGCATTCAACTCACAGAGTTGAACAATCCTTCTGATGGAGCAGTTTTGAAACCCTCTTTCTTTGGAATCTGCAAGGGGATATGTGGACCTCTTTGAAGATTTCACTGGAAACGGGATCATCTTCACATAAAAACTAAACAGAAGCATTCTCGGAAACTACTTTGTGATGTTTGTATTCAACTCCCAGAGTTGAACTTTCCTTTTGAAAGAGCAGCTATGAAACACTCTTTTTCGAGAATCTGCAAGTGGACGTTTGGAGGGCTTTGAGGCCTGTGGTGGAAAAGGAAATATCTTCACACAAAAACCAGATAGAAGCATTCTCAGAAACTACTTTGTGAGGATGGCATTCAACTCATGGAGTTGAACAATCCTATTGATAGAGCAGATTGGAATCACTCTTTTCATAGAATCTGCAAATGGAGATTTGGACTGCTTTGAGGCCTACGGTAGTACAGGAAGGAACTTCATATAAAAGGCAAACGGAAGCATTCTCAGAATATTCTTTGTGATGATGGAGTTTCACTCACAGAGCTGAACATGCCTTTTGATGGAGCAGTTTCCAAATACACTTTTGGTAGAATCAGCAGGTGGATATTTGGAGCTCTCTGAGGATTTCGTTGGAAACGGGAATAATTTCCCATAACTAAACACAAACACTCTGAGAAAGTTCTTCATGATGAATGCATTTAACTCGCAGAGATGAACCTGCCTTTGAGAGTTCAGGTTCGAAACACTCTTTCTGTAGAATCTGCAAGTGGATATTTGGACCACTGGGTGGCCTTCGTTCGAAACGGGTATATGTTCACGTAAAAACTAAAGAGAAGCATTCTCAGAAACTTCTGAGTGATGATTGCATTCAAGTCACACAGTTGAACCCTCCTTTTGATGGAGCAGTTTTGAAACTGTCTTTTTGTAGAATCTGTAAGTGGATACGTGGACCTCTTTGAAGATTTCTTTGGAAACGGGAATATTTCCACAGAAAAACTAAACTGAAGCATTCTCAGAAACTGCTTTGTGATGTTTGTGTTCGAGCCACAGAGTTTAACATTGCTTTTCATAGAGCAGTTTTGAAATATTCTTTTCGCAGAATCTGCAAGTGGACATTTGGAGCGCTTTCAGGCCTGTGGTGGAAAAGGCCTGAAAGCCTTTTCCTTTATCTTCACAGAAAGACGAGAGAGAAGCATTGTCAGAAACTTCTTTGTGATGATTGCATTCAACTCACAGAGTTGAAGATTCCTTTTGAAACAGCAGTTTCGAAACACTCTTTCTGTGGGATCCGCAAGGGGATATTTGGACCTCTTTGAAGGTTTCGTTGGAAACGGGATAATCTTCACCTAAAAGCTAAACGGAAGCATTCTCAGAAACTTCTTTGGGATGTTTGCATTCACCTCACAGAGTTGAACTTTCCCTTTGATAGCGCAGCTTTGACACACTTTTTCTACAATGTGCAAGTGGCTATTTAGCGGGCTTGGAGGACTGTGTTGGAAAAGGAAATATCTTCTCCTAAAAACGACATAGAAGCATTCTCAGAAACTGCTCTGTGATGATTGCATTCAACTCCCAGAGTTGAACATTCCTTTTGATAGAGCAGTTTGCAAACACTCTTTTTGTAGAATCTGCAAGTGGAGATTTGGACCGCTTTGAGGCCTGTGGTAGTGAAGGAAAGAGCTTCATATAAAAACCAGACGGTAGCACTCTCAGAAAATTCTTTGTGACGATGGAGTTTAACTCAGGGAGCTGAACATTCGTTATGATGGAGCAGTTTCCAAACACACGTTTTGTAGAATCTGCAAGGGGATATTTGGACCTCTCTGAGGATTTCGTTGGAAACGGGATCAACTTCCCATAACTGAACGGAAGCAAACTCAGAACATTCTTTGTGATGTTTGTATTCAACTCACAGAGTTGAACCTTCCTTTGATAGTTCAG
Source organism: Homo sapiens (assembly GCF_000001405.40). Lineage (NCBI taxonomy): Eukaryota > Metazoa > Chordata > Mammalia > Primates > Hominidae > Homo > Homo sapiens. The sequence goes on from NC_000023.11 coordinate 58,944,216, forward strand.
GTTTGCAACACCCTTGTAGTAGCATCTGCAAGTGTATATTTTGACCACTTTGTAGCCTTCGTTTGAAACGTCTATATCTTCACATCAAACCTAGACAGAAGCATTCTCAGAAAGTTTTCTGCGATGACTGCATTCAACTCACAGAGTTGAACAATCCTCTGATGGAGCAGTTTTGAAACCCTCTTTCTTTGGAATCTGCAAGGGGATATGTGGACCTCTTTGAAGATTTCACTGGAAACGGGATCATCTTCACATAAAAACTAAACAGAAGCATTCTCGGAAACTATTTTGTGATGTTTGTATTCAACTCCCAGAGTTGAACTTTCCTTTTGAAAGAGCAGCTATGAAACACTCTTTTTCGAGAATCTGCAAGTGGACGTTTGGAGGGCTTTGAGGCCTGTGGTGGAAAAGGAAATATCTTCACACAAAAACCAGATAGAAGCATTCTCAGAAACTACTTTGTGAGGATGGCATTCAACTCATGGAGTTGAACAATCCTATTGATAGAGCAGATTGGAATCACTCTTTTTATAGAATCTGCAAATGGAGATTTGGACTGCTTTGAGGCCTACGGTAGTACAGGAAGGAACTTCATATAAAAGGCAAACGGAAGCATTCTCAGAATATTCTTTGTGATGATGGAGTTTCACTCACAGAGCTGAACATGCCTTTTGATGGAGCAGTTTCCAAATACACTTTTGGTAGAATCTGCAGGTGGATATTTGGAGCTCTCTGAGGATTTCGTTGGAAACGGGAATAATTTCCCATAACTAAACACAAACACTCTGAGAAAGTTCTTCATGATGAATGCATTTAACTCGCAGAGATGAACCTGCCTTTGAGAGTTCAGGTTCGAAACACTCTTTCTGTATAATCTGCAAGTGGATATTTGGACCACTGGGTGGCCTTCGTTCGAAACGGGTATATGTTCACGTAAAAACTAAAGAGAAGCATTCTCAGAAACTTCTGAGTGATGATTGCATTCAAGTCACACAGTTGAACCCTCCTTTTGATGGAGCAGTTTTGAAACTGTCTTTTTGTAGAATCTGTAAGTGGATGCGTGGACCTCTTTGAAGATTTCTTTGGAAACGGGAATATTTCCACAGAAAAACTAAACTGAAGCATTCTCAGAAACTGCTTTGTGATGTTTGTGTTCGAGCCACAGAGTTTAACATTGCTTTTCATAGAGCAGTTTTGAAATATTCTTTTCGCAGAATCTGCAAGTGGACATTTGGAGCGCTTTCAGGCCTGTGGTGGCAAAGGCCTGAAAGCCTTTTCCTTTATCTTCACAGAAAGACGAGAGAGAAGCATTGTCAGAAACTTCTTTGTGATGATTGCATTCAACTCACAGAGTTGAAGATTCCTTTTGAAACAGCAGTTTCGAAACACTCTTTCTGTGGGATCCGCAAGGGGATATTTGGACCTCTTTGAAGGTTTCGTTGGAAACGGGATAATCTTCACCTAAAAGCTAAACGGAAGCATTCTCAGAAACTTCTTTGGGATGTTTGCATTCACCTCACAGAGTTGAACTTTCCCTTTGATAGCGCAGCTTTGACACACTTTTTCTACAATGTGCAAGTGGCTATTTAGCGGGCTTGGGGGACTGTGTTGGAAAAGGAAATATCTTCTCCTAAAAACGACATAGAAGCATTCTCAGAAACTGCTCTGTGATGATTGCATTCAACTCCCAGAGTTGAACATTCCTTTTGATAGAGCAGTTTGCAAACACTCTTTTTGTAGAATCTGCAAGTGGAGATTTGGACCGCTTTGAGGCCTGTGGTAGTGAAGGAAAGAACTTCATATAAAAACCAGACGGTAGCACTCTCAGAAAATTCTTTGTGACGATGGAGTTTAACTCAGGGAGCTGAACATTCGTTATGATGGAGCAGTTTCCGAACACACGTTTTGTAGAATCTGCAAGGGGATATTTGGACCTCTCTGAGGATTTCGTTGGAAACGGGATCAACTTCCCATAACTGAACGGAAGCAAACTCAGAACATTCTTTGTGATGTTTGTATTCAACTCCCAGAGTTGAAATTTCCTTTTGAAAGAGCAGCTATGAAACACTCTTTTTCGAGAATCTGCAAGTGGACTTTTGGAGGGCTTTGAGGCCTGTGGTGGAAAAGGAAATATCTTCACATAAAAACTAGATAGAAGCATTCTCAGAAACTACTTTGTGAGGATGGCATTCAACTCACGGAGTTGAACAATCCTATTGATAGAGCAGATTGGAAACACTCTTTTTGTAGAATCTGTAAATGGAGATTTGGACTGCTTTGAGGCCTACGGTAGTATAGGAAGGAACTTCATATAAAAAGCAAACGGAAGCATTCTCAGAATATTCTTTGTGATGACGGAGTTTCACTCACAGAGCTGAACATGCCTTTTCATGGAGCAGTTTCCAAATACACTTTTGGTAGAATCTGCAGGTGGATATTTGGAGCTCTCTGAGGATTTCGTTGGAAACGGGAATAATTTCCCATAACTAAACACAAACACGCTGAGAAAGTTCTTCATGATGAATGCATTTAACTCGCAGAGATGAACCTGCCTTTGAGAGTTCAGGTTCAAAACACTCTTTCTGTAGAATCTGCAAGTGGATATTTGGACCACTGGCTGGCCTTCGTTCGAAACGGGTATATGTTCACGTAAAAACTAAAGAGAAGCGTTCTCAGAAACTTCTGAGTGATGAATGCATTCAAGTCACACAGTTGAACCCTCCTTTTGATTGAGCAGTTTTGAAACTGTCTTTTTGTAGAATCTGTAAGTGGATGTGTGGACCTCTTTGAAGATTTCTTTGGAAACGGGAATATTTCCACAGAAAAACTAAACTGAAGCATTCTCAGAAACTGCTTTGTGATGTTTGTGTTCGAGCCGCAGAGTTTAACATTGCTTTTCATAGAGCAGTTTTGAAATATTCTTTTGGCAGAATCTGCAAGTGGACATTTGGAGCGCTTTCAGGCCTGTGGTGGAAATGGCCTGAAAGCCTTTTCCTTTATCTTCACAGAAAGACGAGAGAGAAGCATTGTCAGAAACTTCTTTGTGATGATTGCATTCAACTCACAGAGTTGAAGATTCCTTTTGAAACAGCAGTTTCGAAACACTCTTTCTGTGGGATCCGCAAGGGGATATTTGGACCTCTTTGAAGATTTCGTTGGAAACGGGATAATCTTCACTTAAAGCAAAACGGAAGCATTCTCAGAAACTTCTTTGGGATGTTTGCATTCACCTCACAGAGTTGAACTTTCCCTTTGATAGCGCAGCTTCGACACACTTTTTCTACAATGTGCAAGTGGATATTTAGCGGGCTTGGAGGACTGTGTTGGAAAAGGAAATATCTTCTCCTAAAAACGACATAGAAGCATTCTCAGAAACTGCTCTGTGATGATTGCATTCAACTCCCAGAGTTGAACATTCCTTTTGATAGAGCAGTTTGCAAACACTCTTTTTGTAGAATCTGCAAGTGGAGATTTGGACCGCTTTGAGGCCTGTGGTAGTAAAGGAAAGAACTTCATATAAAACTAGACGGTAGCACTCTCAGAAAATTCTTTGTGACGATGGAGTTTAACTCAGAGAGCTGAACATTCGTTATGATGGAGCAGTTTCCAAACACACGTTTTGTAGAATCTGCAAGGGGATATTTGGACCTCTCTGAGGATTTCGTTGGAAACGGGATCAACTTCCCATAACTGAACGGAAGCAAACTCAGAACATTCTTTGTGATGTTTGTATTCAACTCACAGAGTTGAACCTTCCTTTGATAGTTCAGGTTTGCATCACCCTTGTAGTAGAATCTGCAAGTGTATATTTTGACCACTTTGTAGCCTTCGTTTGAAACGTCTATATCTTCACATCTAACCTAGACAGAAGCATTCTCAGAAAGTTTTCTGCGATGACTGCATTCAACTCACAGAGTTGAACAATCCTTTTGATGGAGCAGTTTTGAAACCCTCTTTCTTTGGAATCTGCAAGGGGATATGTGGACCTCTTTGAAGATTTCACTGGAAACGGGATCATCTTCACATAAGAACTAAACAGAAGCATTCTCGGAAACTACTTTGTGATGTTTGTATTCAGCTCCCAGAGTTGAACTTTCCTTTTGAAAGAGCAGCTATGAAACACTCTTTTTCGAGAATCTGCAAGTGGACGTTTGGAGGGCTTTGAGGCCTGTGGTGGAAAAGGAAATATCTTCACATAAAAACTAGATAGAAACATTCTCAGAAACTACTTTGTGAGGATGGCATTCAACTCATGGAGTTGAACAGTCCTATTGATAGAGCAGATTGGAATCACTATTTTTGTAGAATCTGCAAATGGAGATTTGGACTGCTTTGAGGCCTACGGTAGTATAGGAAGGAACTTCATATAAAAGGCAAATGGAAGCATTCTCAGAATATTCTTTGTGATGATGGAGTTTCACTCACAGAGCTGAACATTCCTTTTGATGGAGCAGTTTCCAAATACACTTTTGGTAGAATCTACAGGTGGATATTTGGACCTCTCTGAGGATTTCGTTGGAAACGGGAATAATTTCCAATAACTAAACACAAACACGCTGAGAAAGTTCTTCATGATGAATGCATTTAACTCGCAGAGATGAACCTGCCTTTGAGAGTTCAGGTTCGAAACACTCTTTCTGTAGAGTCTGCAAGTGGATATTTGGACCACTGGGTGGCCTTCGTTCGAAACGGGTATATGTTCACGTAAAAACTAAAGAGAAGCATTCTCAGAAACTTCTGAGTGATGATTGCATTCAAGTCACACAGTTGAACCCTCCTTTTGATTGAGCAGTTTTGAAACTGTCTTTTTGTAGAATCTGTAAGTGGATGCGTGGACCTCTTTGAAGATTTCTTTGGAAACGGGAATATTTCCACAGAAAAACTAAACTGAATCATTCTCAGAAACTGCTTTGTGATGTTTGTGTTCGAGCCACAGAGTTTAACATTGCTTTTCATAGAGCAGTTTTGAAATATTCTTTTGGCAGAATCTGCAAGTGGACATTTGGAGCGCTTTCAGGCCTGTGGTGGAAAAGGCCTGAAAGCCTTTTCCTTTATCTTCACAGAAAGACGAGAGAGAAGCATTGTCAGAAACTTCTTTGTGATGATTGCATTCAACTCACAGAGTTGAAGATTCCTTCTGAAACAGCAGTTTCAAAACACTCTTTCTGTGGGATCCGCAAGGGGATATTTGGACCTCTTTGAAGATTTCGTTGGAAACGGGATAATCTTCACCTAAAAGCTAAACGGAAGCATTCTCAGAAACTTCTTTGGGATGTTTGCATTCACCTCACAGAGTTGAACTTTCCCTTTGATAGCGCAGCTTCGACACACTTTTTTTACAATGTGCAAGTGGATATTTAGCGGGCTTGGAGGACTGTGTTGGAAAAGGAAATATCTTCTCCTAAAAACGACATAGAAGCATTCTCAGAAACTGCTCTGTGATGATTGCATTCAACTCCCAGAGTTGAACATTCCTTTTGATAGAGCAGTTTGCAAACACTCTTTTTGTAGAATCTGCAAGTGGAGATTTGGACCGCTTTGAGGCCTGTGGTAGTAAAGGGAAGAACTTCATATAAAAACCAGACGGTAGCACTCTCAGAAAATTCTTTGTGACGATGGAGTTTAACTCAGAGAGCTGAACATTCGTTATGATGGAGCAGTTTCCAAACACACGTTTTGTAGAATCTGCAAGGGGATATTTGGTCCTCTCTGAGGATTTCGTTGGGAACGGGATCAACTTCCCATAACTGAACGGAAGCAAACTCAGAACATTCTTTGTGATGTTTGTATTCAACTCACAGAGTTGAACCTTCCTTTGATAGTTCAGGTTTGCAACACCCTTGTAGTAGAATCTGCAAGTGTATATTTTGACCACTTTGTAGCCTTCGTTTGAAACGTCTATATCTTCACCTCAAACCTAGACAGAAGCATTCTCAGAAAGTTTTCTGCGATGACAGCATTCAACTCACAGAGTTGAACAATCCTTTTGATGGAGCAGTTTTGAATCCCTCTTTCTTTGGAATCTGCAAGGGGATATGTGGACCTCTTTGAAGATTTCACTGGAAACGGGATCATCTTCACATAAGAACTAAACAGAAGCATTCTCGGAAACTACTTTGTGATGTTTGTATTCAACTCGCAGAGTTGAACTTTCCTTTTGAAAGAGCAGCTATGAAACACTCTTTTTCGAGAATCTGCAAGTGGACGTTTGGAGGGCTTTGAGGCCTGTGGTGGAAAAGGAAATATCTTCACATAAAAACTAGATAGAAGCATTCTCAGAAACGACTTTGTGAGGATGGCATTCAACTCATGGAGTTGAACAATCCTATTGATAGAGCAGATTGGAATCACTCTTTTTGTAGAATCTGCAAATGGAGATTTGGACTGCTTTGAGGCCTACGGTAGTATAGGAAGGTACTTCATATAAAAGGCAAACGGAAGCATTCTCAGAATATTCTTTGTGACGATGGAGTTTCACTCACAGAGCTGAACATGCCTTTTGATGGAGCAGTTTCCAAATACACTTTTGGTAGAATCTGCAGGTGGATATTTGGACCTCTCTGCGGATTTCTTTGGTAACGGGAATAATTTCCCATAACTAAACACAAACACTCTGAGAAAGTTCTTCATGATGAATGCATTTAACTCGCAGAGATGAACCTGCCTTTGAGAGTTCAGGTTCGAAACACTCTTTCTGTAGAATCTGCAAGTGGATATTTGGACCACTGGCTGGCCTTCGTTCGAAACGGGTATATGTTCACGTAAAAACTAAAGAGAAGCGTTCTCAGAAACTTCTGAGTGATGATTGCATTCAAGTCACACAGTTGAACCCTCCTTTTGATTGAGCAGTTTTGAAACTGTCTTTTTGTAGAATCTGTAAGTGGATGCGTGGACCTCTTTGAAGATTTCTTTGGAAACGGGAATATTTCCACAGAAAAACTAAACTGAAGCATTCTCAGAAACTGCTTTGTGATGTTTGTGTTCGAGCCACAGAGTTTAACATTGCTTTTCATAGAGCAGTTTTGAAATATTCTTTTGGCAGAATCTGCAAGTGGACATTTGGAGTGCTTTCAGGCCTGTGGTGGAAAAGGCCTGAAAGCCTTTTCCTTTATCTTCACAGAAAGACGAGAGAGAAGCATTGTCAGAAACTTCTTTGTGATCATTGCATTCAACTCACAGAGTTGAAGATTCCTTTTGAAACAGCAGTTTCGAAACACTCTTTCTGTGGGATCCGCAAGGGGATATTTGGACCTCTTTGAAGATTTCGTTGGAAACGGGATAATCTTCACCTAAAAGCTAAACGGAAGCATTCTCAGAAACTTCTTTGGGATGTTTGCATTCACCTCACAGAGTTGAACTTTCCCTTTGATAGCGCAGCTTTGACACACTTTTTCTACAATGTGCAAGTGGATATTTAGCGGGCTTGGAGGACTGTGTTGGAAAAGGAAATATCTTCTCCTAAAAACGACATAGAAGCATTCTCAGAAACTGCTCTGTGATGATTGCATTCAACTCCCAGAGTTGAACATTCCTTTTGATAGAGCAGTTTGCAAACACTCTTTTTGTAGAATCTGCAAGTGGAGATTTGGACCGCTTTGAGGCCTGTGGTAGTAAAGGAAAGAACTTCATATAAAAACTAGACGGTAGCACCCTCAGAAAATTCTTTGTGACGATGGAGTTTAACTCAGAGAGCTGAACATTCGTTATGATGGAGCAGTTTCCAAACACAGGTTTTGTAGAATCTGCAAGGGGATATTTGGACCTCTCTGAGGATTTCGTTGGAAACGGGATCAACTTCCCATAGCTGAACGGAAGCAAACTCAGAACATTCTTTGTGATGTTTGTATTCAACTCACAGAGTTGAACCTTCCTTTGATAGTTCAGGTTTGCATCACCCTTGTAGTAGAATCTGCAAGTGTATATTTTGACCACTTTGTAGCGTTCGTTTGAAACGTCTATATCTTCACATCAAACCTAGACAGAAGCATTCTCAGAAAGTTTTCTGCGATGACTGCATTCAACTCACAGAGTTGAACAATCCTTTTGATGGAGCAGTTTTGAACCCCTCTTTCTTTGGAATCTGCAAGGGGATATGTGGACCTCTTTGAAGGTTTCACTGGAAACGGGATCATCTTCACATAAGAACTAAACAGAAGCATTCTCGGAAACTACTTTGTGATGTTTGTATTCAACTCCCAGAGTTGAACTTTCCTTTTGAAAGAGCAGCTATGAAACACTCTTTTTCGAGAATCTGCAAGTGGACGTTTGGAAGGCTTTGAGGCCTGTGGTGGAAAAGGAAATATCTTCACATAAAAACTAGATAGAAGCATTCTCAGAAACTACTTTGTGAGGATGGCATTCAACTCATGGAGTTGAACAATCCTATTGATAGAGCAGATTGGAATCACTCTTTTTGTAGAATCTGCAAATGGAGATTTGGACTGCTTTGAGGCCTACGGTAGTACAGGAAGGAACTTCATATAAAAGGCAAACGGAAGCATTCTCAGAATATTCTTTGTGATGATGGAGTTTCACTCACAGAGCTGAACATGCCTTTTGATGGAGCAGTTTCCAAATACACTTTTGGTAGAATCTGCAGGTGGATATTTGGAGCTCTCTGAGGATTTCGTTGGAAACGGGAATAATTTCCCATAACTAAACACAAACACTCTGAGAAAGTTCTTCATGATGAATGCATTTAACTCGCAGAGATGAACCTGCCTTTGAGAGTTCAGGTTCGAAACACTCTTTCTGTATAATCTGCAAGTGGATATTTGGACCACTGGGTGGCCTTCGTTCGAAACGGGTATATGTTCACGTAAAAACTAAAGAGAAGCATTCTCAGAAACTTCTGAGTGATGATTGCATTCAAGTCACACGGTTGAACCCTCCTTTTGATGGAGCAGTTTTGAAACTGTCTTTTTGTAGAATCTGTAAGTGGATACGTGGACCTCTTTGAAGATTTCTTTGGAAACGGGAATATTTCCACAGAAAAACTAAACTGAAGCATTCTCAGAAACCGCTTTGTGATGTTTGTGTTCGAGCCACAGAGTTTAACATTGCTTTTCATAGAGCAGTTTTGAAATATTCTTTTCGCAGAATCTGCAAGTGGACATTTGGAGCGCTTTCAGGCCTGTGGTGGAAAAGGCCTGAAAGCCTTTTCCTTTATCTTCACAGAAAGACGAGAGAGAAGCATTGTCAGAAACTTCTTTGTGATGATTGCATTCAACTCACAGAGTTGAAGATTCCTTTTGAAACAGCAGTTTCGAAACACTCTTTCTGTGGGATCCGCAAGGGGATATTTGGACCTCTTTGAAGGTTTCGTTGGAAACGGGATAATCTTCACCTAAAAGCTAAACGGAAGCATTCTCAGAAACTTCTTTGGGATGTTTGCATTCACCTCACAGAGTTGAACTTTCCCTTTGATAGCGCAGCTTTGACACACTTTTTCTACAATGTGCAAGTGGCTATTTAGCGGGCTTGGAGGACTGTGTTGGAAAAGGAAATATCTTCTAAAAACGACATAGAAGCATTCTCAGAAACTGCTCTGTGATGATTGCATTCAACTCCCAGAGTTGAACATTCCTTTTGATAGAGCAGTTTGCAAACACTCTTTTTGTAGAATCTGCAAGTGGAGATTTGGACCGCTTTGAGGCCTGTGGTAGTGAACGAAAGAACTTCATATAAAAACCAGACGGTAGCACTCTCAGAAAATTCTTTGTGACGATGGAGTTTAACTCAGGGAGCTGAACATTCGTTATGATGGAGCAGTTTCCAAACACACGTTTTGTAGAATCTGCGAGGGGATATTTGGACCTCTCTGAGGATTTCGTTGGAAACGGGATCAACTTCCCATAACTGAACGGAAGCAAACTCAGAACATTCTTTGTGATGTTTGTATTCAACTCACAGAGTTGAACCTTCCTTTGATAGTTCAGGTTTGCAACACCCTTGTAGTAGAATCTGCAAGTGTATATTTTGACCACTTTGTAGCCTTCGTTTGAAACGTCTATATCTTCACATCAAACCTAGCCAGAAGCATTCTCAGAAAGTTTTCTGCGATGACTGCATTCAACTCACAGAGTTGAACAATCCTTCTGATGGAGCAGTTTTGAAACCCTCTTTCTTTGGAATCTGCAAGGGGATATGTGGACCTCTTTGAAGATTTCACTGGAAACGGGATCATCTTCACATAAAAACTAAACAGAAGCATTCTCGGAAACTACTTTGTGATGTTTGTATTCAACTCCCAGAGTTGAACTTTCCTTTTGAAAGAGCAGCTATGAAACACTCTTTTTCGAGAATCTGCAAGTGGACGTTTGGAGGGCTTTGAGGCCTGTGGTGGAAAAGGAAATATCTTCACACAAAAACCAGATAGAAGCATTCTCAGAAACTACTTTGTGAGGATGGCATTCAACTCATGGAGTTGAACAATCCTATTGATAGAGCAGATTGGAATCACTCTTTTTGTAGAATCTGCAAATGGAGATTTGGACTGCTTTGAGGCCTACGGTAGTATAGGAAGGAACTTCATATAAAAGGCAAACGGAAGCAGTCTCAGAATATTCTTTGTGATGACGGAGTTTCACTCACAGAGCTGAACATGCCTTTTCATGGAGCAGTTTCCAAATACACTTTTGGTACAATCTGCAGGTGGATATTTGGAGCTCTCTGAGGATTTCTTTGGAAACGGGAATAATTTCCCATAACTAAACACAAACACTCTGAGAAAGTTCTTCATGATGAATGCATTTAACTCGCAGAGATGAACCTGCCTTTGAGAGTTCAGGTTCGAAACACTCTTTCTGTAGAATCTGCAAGTGGATATTTGGACCACTGGCTGGCCTTCGTTCGAAACGGGTATATGTTCACGTAAAAACTAAAGAGAAGCATTCTCAGAAACTTCTGAGTGATGATTGCATTCAAGTCACACAGTTGAACCCTCCTTTTGATGGAGCAGTTTTGAAACTGTCTTTTTGTAGAATCTGTAAGTGGATACGTGGACCTCTTTGAAGATTTCTTTGGAAACGGGAATATTTCCACAGAAAAACTAAACTGAAGCATTCTCAGAAACTGCTTTGTGATGTTTGTGTTCGAGCCACAGAGTTTAACATTGCTTTTCATAGAGCAGTTTTGAAATATTCTTTTGGCAGAATCTGCAAGTGGACATTTGGAGCGCTTTCAGGCCTGTGGTGGAAAAGGCCTGAAAGCCTTTTCCTTTATCTTCACAGAAAGACGAGAGAGAAGCATTGTCAGAAACTTCTTTGTGATGATTGCATTCAACTCACAGAGTTGAAGATTCCTTTTGAAACAGCAGTTTCGAAACACTCTTTCTGTGGGATCCGCAAGGGGATATTTGGACCTCTTTGAAGGTTTCGTTGGAAACGGGATAATCTTCACCTAAAAGCTAAACGGAAGCATTCTCAGAAACTTCTTTGGGATGTTTGCATTCACCTCACAGAGTTGAACTTTCCCTTTGATAGCGCAGCTTTGACACACTTTTTCTACAATGTGCAAGTGGCTATTTAGCGGGCTTGGAGGACTGTGTTGGAAAAGGAAATATCTTCTCCTAAAAACGACATAGAAGCATTCTCAGAAACTGCTCTGTGATGATTGCATTCAACTCCCAGAGTTGAACATTCCTTTTGATAGAGCAGTTTGCAAACACTCTTTTTGTAGAATCTGGAAGTGGAGATTTGGACCGCTTTGAGGCCTGTGGTAGTGAAGGAAAGAGCTTCATATAAAAACCAGACGGTAGCACTCTCAGAAAATTCTTTGTGACGATGGAGTTTAACTCAGGGAGCTGAACATTCGTTATGATGGAGCAGTTTCCAAACACACGTTTTGTAGAATCTGCAAGGGGATATTTGGACCTCTCTGAGGATTTCGTTGGAAACGGGATCAACTTCCCATAACTGAACGGAAGCAAACTCAGAACATTCTTTGTGATGTTTGTATTCAACTCACAGAGTTGAACCTTCCTTTGATAGTTCAGGTTTGCAACACCCTTGTAGTAGAATCTGCAAGTGTATATTTTGACCACTTTGTAGCCTTCGTTTGAAACGTCTATATCTTCACATCAAACCTAGACAGAAGCATTCTCAGAAAGTTTTCTGCGATGACTGCATTCAACTCACAGAGTTGAACAATCCTTCTGATGGAGCAGTTTTGAAACCCTCTTTCTTTGGAATCTGCAAGGGGATATGTGGACCTCTTTGAAGATTTCACTGGAAACGGGATCATCTTCACATAAAAACTAAACAGAAGCATTCTCGGAAACTACTTTGTGATGTTTGTATTCAACTCCCAGAGTTGAACTTTCCTTTTGAAAGAGCAGCTATGAAACACTCTTTTTCGAGAATCTGCAAGTGGACGTTTGGAGGGCTTTGAGGCCTGTGGTGGAAAAGGAAATATCTTCACATAAAAACTAGATAGAAGCATTCTCAGAAACGACTTTGTGAGGATGGCATTCAACTCATGGAGTTGAACAATCCTATTGATAGAGCAGATTGGAATCACTCTTTTTGTAGAATCTGCAAATGGAGATTTGGACTGCTTTGAGGCCTACGGTCGTATAGGAAGGAACTTCATATAAAAGGCAAACGGAAGCATTCTCAGAATATTCTTTGTGATGATGGAGTTTCACTCACAGAGCTGAACATGCCTTTTGATGGAGCAGTTTCCAAATACACTTTTGGTAGAATCTGCAGGTGGATATTTGGAGCTCTCTGAGGATTTCGTTGGAAACGGGAATAATTTCCCATAACTAAACACAAACACTCTGAGAAAGTTCTTCATGATGAATGCATTTAACTCGCAGAGATGAACCTGCCTTTGAGAGTTCAGGTTCGAAACACTCTTTCTGTAGAATCTGCAAGTGGATATTTGGACCACTGGCTGGCCTTCGTTCGAAACGGGTATATGTTCACGTAAAAACTAAAGAGAAGCATTCTCAGAAACTTCTGAGTGATGATTGCATTCAAGTCACACAGTTGAACCCTCCTTTTGATGGAGCAGTTTTGAAACTGTCTTTTTGTAGAATCTGTAAGTGGATACGTGGACCTCTTTGAAGATTTCTTTGGAAACGGGAATATTTCCACAGAAAAACTAAACTGAAGCATTCTCAGAAACCGCTTTGTGATGTTTGTGTTCGAGCCGCAGAGTTTAACATTGCTTTTCATAGAGCAGTTTTGAAATATTCTTTTGGCAGAATCTGCAAGTGGACATTTGGAGCGCTTTCAGGCCTGTGGTGGAAAAGGCCTGAAAGCCTTTTCCTTTATCTTCACAGAAAGACGAGAGAGAAGCATTGTCAGAAACTTCTTTGTGATGATTGCATTCAACTCACAGAGTTGAAGATTCCTTTTGAAACAGCAGTTTCGAAACACTCTTTCTGTGGGATCCGCAAGGGGATATTTGGACCTCTTTGAAGGTTTCGTTGGAAACGGGATAATCTTCACCTAAAAGCTAAACGGAAGCATTCTCAGAAACTTCTTTGGGATGTTTGCATTCACCTCACAGAGTTGAACTTTCCCTTTGATAGCGCAGCTTTGACACACTTTTTCTACAATGTGCAAGTGGCTATTTAGCGGGCTTGGAGGACTGTGTTGGAAAAGGAAATATCTTCTCCTAAAAACGACATAGAAGCATTCTCAGAAACTGCTCTGTGATGATTGCATTCAACTCCCAGAGTTGAACATTCCTTTTGATAGAGCAGTTTGCAAACACTCTTTTTGTAGAATCTGCAAGTGGAGATTTGGACCGCTTTGAGGCCTGTGGTAGTGAAGGAAAGAACTTCATATAAAAACCAGACGGTAGCACTCTCAGAAAATTCTTTGTGACGATGGAGTTTAACTCAGGGAGCTGAACATTCGTTATGATGGAGCAGTTTCCAAACACACGTTTTGTAGAATCTGTGAGGGGATATTTGGACCTCTCTGAGGATTTCGTTGGAAACGGGATCAACTTCCCATAACTGAACGGAAGCAAACTCAGAACATTCTTTGTGATGTTTGTATTCAACTCACAGAGTTGAACCTTCCTTTGATAGTTCAGGTTTGCAACACCCTTGTAGTAGAATCTGCAAGTGTATATTTTGACCACTTTGTAGCCTTCGTTTGAAACGTCTATATCTTCACATCAAACCTAGAAAGAAGCATTCTCAGAAAGTTTTCTGCGATGACTGCATTCAACTCACAGAGTTGAACAATCCTTTTGATGGAGCAGTTTTGAAACCCTCTTTCTTTGGAATCTGCAAGGGGATATGTGGACCTCTTTGAAGATTTCACTGGAAACGGGATCATCTTCACATAAAAACTAAACAGAAGCAATCTCGGAAGCTATTTTGTGATGTTTGTATTCAACTCCCAGAGTTGAACTTTCCTTTTGAAAGAGCAGCTATGAAACACTCTTTTTCGAGAATCTGCAAGTGGACGTTTGGAGGGCTTTGAGGCCTGTGGTGGAAAAGGAAATATCTTCACACAAAAACCAGATAGAAGCATTCTCAGAAACTACTTTGTGAGGATGGCATTCAACTCATGGAGTTGAACAATCCTATTGATAGAGCAGATTGGAATCACTCTTTTGTAGAATCTGCAAATGGAGATTTGGACTGCTTTGAGGCCTACGGTCGTATAGGAAGGAACTTCATATAAAAGGCAAACGGAAGCATTCTCAGAATATTCTTTGTGATGATGGAGTTTCACTCACAGAGCTGAACATGCCTTTTGATGGAGCAGTTTCCAAATACACTTTTGGTAGAATCTGCAGGTGGATATTTGGAGCTCTCTGAGGATTTCGTTGGAAACGGGAATAATTTCCCATAACTAAACACAAACACTCTGAGAAAGTTCTTCATGATGAATGCATTTAACTCGCAGAGATGAACCTGCCTTTGAGAGTTCAGGTTCGAAACACTCTTTCTGTAGAATCTGCAAGTGGATATTTGGACCACTGGGTGGCCTTCGTTCGAAACGGGTATATGTTCACGTAAAAACTAAAGAGAAGCATTCTCAGAAACTTCTGAGTGATGATTGCATTCAAGTCACACAGTTGAACCCTCCTTTTGATGGAGCAGTTTTGAAACTGTCTTTTTGTAGAATCTGTAAGTGGATACGTGGACCTCTTTGAAGATTTCTTTGGTAACGGGAATATTTCCACAGAAAAACTAAACTGAAGCATTCTCAGAAACTGCTTTGTGATGTTTGTGTTCGAGCCACAGAGTTTAACATTGCTTTTCATAGAGCAGTTTTGAAATATTCTTTTGGCAGAATCTGCAAGTGGACATTTGGAGCGCTTTCAGGCCTGTGGTGGAAAAGGCCTGAAAGCCTTTTCCTTTATCTTCACAGAAAGACGAGAGAGAAGCATTGTCAGAAACTTCTTTGTGATGATTGCATTCAACTCACAGAGTTGAAGATTCCTTTTGAAACAGCAGTTTCGAAACACTCTTTCTGTGGGATCCGCAAGGGGATATTTGGACCTCTTTGAAGGTTTCGTTGGAAACGGGATAATCTTCACCTAAAAGCTAAACGGAAGCATTCTCAGAAACTTCTTTGGGATGTTTGCATTCACCTCACAGAGTTGAACTTTCCCTTTGATAGCGCAGCTTTGACACACTTTTTCTACAATGTGCAAGTGGCTATTTAGCGGGCTTGGAGGACTGTGTTGGAAAAGGAAATATCTTCTCCTAAAAACGACATAGAAGCATTCTCAGAAACTGCTCTGTGATGATTGCATTCAACTCCCAGAGTTGAACATTCCTTTTGATAGAGCAGTTTGCAAACACTCTTTTTGTAGAATCTGCAAGTGGAGATTTGGACCGCTTTGAGGCCAGTGGTAGTGAAGGAAAGAACTTCATATAAAAACCAGACGGTAGCACTCTCAGAAAATTCTTTGTGACGATGGAGTTTAACTCAGGGAGCTGAACATTCGTTATGATGGAGCAGTTTCCAAACACACGTTTTGTAGAATCTGCAAGGGGATATTTGGACCTCTCTGAGGATTTCGTTGGAAACGGGATCAACTTCCCATAACTGAACGGAAGCAAACTCAGAACATTCTTTGTGATGTTTGTATTCAACTCACAGAGTTGAACCTTCCTTTGATAGTTCAGGTTTGCAACACCCTTGTAGTAGAATCTGCAAGTGTATATTTTGACCACTTTGTAGCCTTCATTTGAAACGTCTATATCTTCACATCAAACCTAGACAGAAGCATTCTCAGAAAGTTTTCTGCGATGACTGCATTCAACTCACAGAGTTGAACAATCCTTTTGATGGAGCAGTTTTGAAACCCTCTTTCTTTGGAATCTGCAAGGGGATATGTGGACCTCTTTGAAGATTTCACTGGAAACGGGATCATCTTCACATAAAAACTAAACAGAAGCATTCTCGGAAACTATTTTGTGATGTTTGTATTCAACTCCCAGAGTTGAACTTTCCTTTTGAAAGAGCAGCTATGAAACACTCTTTTTCGAGAATCTGCAAGTGGACGTTTGGAGGGCTTTGAGGCCTGTGGTGGAAAAGGAAATATCTTCACACAAAAACCAGATAGAAGCATTCTCAGAAACGACTTTGTGAGGATGGCATTCAACTCATGGAGTTGAACAATCCTATTGATAGAGCAGATTGGAATCACTCTTTTTGTAGAATCTGCAAATGGAGATTTGGACTGCTTTGAGGCCTACGGTAGTACAGGAAGGAACTTCATATAAAAGGCAAACGGAAGCATTCTCAGAATATTCTTTGTGATGATGGAGTTTCACTCACAGACCTGAACATGCCTTTTGATGGAGCAGTTTCCAAATACACTTTTGGTAGAATCAGCAGGTGGATATTTGGAGCTCTCTGAGGATTTCGTTGGAAACGGGAATAATTTCCCATAACTAAACACAAAACACTCTGAGAAAGTTCTTCATGATGAATGCATTTAACTCGCAGAGATGAACCTGCCTTTGAGAGTTCAGGTTCGAAACACTCTTTCTGTAGAATCTGCAAGTGGATATTTGTACCACTGGCTGGCCTTCGTTCGAAACGGGTATATGTTCACGTAAAAACTAAAGAGAAGCATTCTCAGAAACTTCTGAGTGATGATTGCATTGAAGTCACACAGTTGAACCCTCCTTTTGATGGAGCAGTTTTGAAACTGTCTTTTTGTAGAATCTGTAAGTGGATACGTGGACCTCTTTGAAGATTTCTTTGGAAACGGGAATATTTCCACAGAAAAACTAAACTGAAGCATTCTCAGAAACCGCTTTGTGATGTTTGTGTTCGAGCCGCAGAGTTTAACATTGCTTTTCATAGAGCAGTTTTGAAATATTCTTTTGGCAGAATCTGCAAGTGGACATTTGGACCGCTTTCAGGCCTGTGGTGGCAAAGGCCTGAAAGCCTTTTCCTTTATCTTCACAGAAAGACGAGAGAGAAGCATTGTCAGAAACTTCTTTGTGATGATTGCATTCAACTCACAGAGTTGAAGATTCCTTTTGAAACAGCAGTTTCGAAACACTCTTTCTGTGGGATCCGCAAGGGGATATTTGGACCTCTTTGAAGGTTTCGTTGGAAACGGGATAATCTTCACCTAAAAGCTAAACGGAAGCATTCTCAGAAACTTCTTTGGGATGTTTGCATTCACCTCACAGAGTTGAACTTTCCCTTTGATAGCGCAGCTTCGACACACTTTTTCTACAATGTGCAAGTGGCTATTTAGCGGGCTTGGAGGACTGTGTTGGAAAAGGAAATATCTTCTCCTAAAAACGACATAGAAGCCTTCTCAGAAACTGCTCTGTGATGATTGCATTCAACTCCCAGAGTTGAACATTCCTTTTGATAGAGCAGTTTGCAGACACTCTTTTTGTAGAATCTGCAAGTGGAGATTTGGACCGCTTTGAGGCCTGTGGTAGTAAAGGAAAGAACTTCATATAAAAACTAGACGGTAGCACTCTCAGAAAATTCTTTGTGACGATGGAGTTTAACTCAGGGAGCTGAACATTCGTTATGATGGAGCAGTTTCCAAACACACGTTTTGTAGAATCTGCAAGGGGATATTTGGACCTCTCTGAGGATTTCGTTGGAAACGGGATCAACTTCCCATAACTGAACGGAAGCAAACTCAGAACATTCTTTGTGATGTTTGTATTCAACTCACAGAGTTGAACCTTCCTTTGATAGTTCAGGTTTGCAACACCCTTGTAGTAGAATCTGCAAGTGTATATTTTGACCACTTTGTAGCCTTCGTTTGAAACGTCTATATCTTCACATCAAACCTAGACAGAAGCATTCTCAGAAAGTTTTCTGCGATGACTGCATTCAACTCACAGAGTTGAACAATCCTTCTGATGGAGCAGTTTTGAAACCCTCTTTCTTTGGAATCTGCAAGGGGATATGTGGACCTCTTTGAAGATTTCACTGGAAACGGGATCATCTTCACATAAAAACTAAACAGAAGCATTCTCGGAAACTACTTTGTGATGTTTGTATTCAACTCCCAGAGTTGAACTTTCCTTTTGAAAGAGCAGCTATGAAACACTCTTTTTCGAGAATCTGCAAGTGGACGTTTGGAGGGCTTTGAGGCCTGTGGTGGAAAAGGAAATATCTTCACATAAAAACTAGATAGAAGCATTCTCAGAAACGACTTTGTGAGGATGGCATTCAACTCATGGAGTTGAACAATCCTATTGATAGAGCAGATTGGAATCACTCTTTTTGTAGAATCTGCAAATGGAGATTTGGACTGCTTTGAGGCCTACGGTCGTATAGGAAGGAACTTCATATAAAAGGCAAACGGAAGCATTCTCAGAATATTCTTTGTGATGATGGAGTTTCACTCACAGAGCTGAATATGCCTTTTGATGGAGCAGTTTCCAAATACACTTTTGGTAGAATCTGCAGGTGGATATTTGGAGCTCTCTGAGGATTTCGTTGGAAACGGGAATAATTTCCCATAACTAAACACAAACACTCTGAGAAAGTTCTTCATGATGAATGCATTTAACTCGCAGAGATGAACCTGCCTTTGAGAGTTCAGGTTCGAAACACTCTTTCTGTAGAATCTGCAAGTGGATATTTGGACCACTGGGTGGCCTTCGTTCGAAACGGGTATATGTTCACGTAAAAACTAAAGAGAAGCATTCTCAGAAACTTCTGAGTGATGATTGCATTCAAGTCACACAGTTGAACCCTCCTTTTGATGGAGCAGTTTTGAAACTGTCTTTTTGTAGAATCTGTAAGTGGATACGTGGACCTCTTTGAAGATTTCTTTGGAAACGGGAATATTTCCACAGAAAAACTAAACTGAAACATTCTCAGAAACCGCTTTGTGATGTTTGTGTTCCAGCCACAGAGTTTAACATTGCTTTTCATAGAGCAGTTTTGAAATATTCTTTTCGCAGAATCTGCAAGTGGACATTTGGAGCGCTTTCAGGCCTGTGGTGGAACAGGCCTGAAAGCCTTTTCCTTTATCTTCACAGAAAGACGAGAGAGAAGCATTGTCAGAAACTTCTTTGTGATGATTGCATTCAACTCACAGAGTTGAAGATTCCTTTTGAAACAGCAGTTTCGAAACACTCTTTCTGTGGGATCCGCAAGGGGATATTTGGACCTCTTTGAAGGTTTCGTTGGAAACGGGATAATCTTCACCTAAAAGCTAAACGGAAGCATTCTCAGAAACTTCTTTGGGATGTTTGCATTCACCTCACAGAGTTGAACTTTCCCTTTGATAGCGCAGCTTTGACACACTTTTTCTACAATGTGCAAGTGGCTATTTAGCGGGCTTGGAGGACTGTGTTGGAAAAGGAAATATCTTCTCCTAAAAACGACATAGAAGCATTCTCAGAAACTGCTCTGTGATGATTGCATTCAACTCCCAGAGTTGAACATTCCTTTTGATAGAGCAGTTTGCAAACACTCTTTTTGTAGAATCTGCAAGTGGAGATTTGGACCGCTTTGAGGCCTGTGGTAGTGAAGGAAAGAACTTCATATAAAAACCAGACGGTAGCACTCTCAGAAAATTCTTTGTGACGATGGAATTTAACTCAGGGAGCTGAACATTCGTTATGATGGAGCAGTTTCCAAACACACGTTTTGTAGAATCTGCAAGGGGATATTTGGACCTCTCTGAGGATTTCGTTGGAAACGGGATCAACTTCCCATAACTGAACTGAAGCAAACTCAGAACATTCTTTGTGATGTTTGTATTCAACTCACAGAGTTGAACCTTCCTTTGATAGTTCAGGTTTGCAACACCCTTGTAGTAGAATCTGCAAGTGTATATTTTCACCACTTTGTAGCCTTCATTTGAAACGTCTATATCTTCACATCAAACCTAGACAGAAGCATTCTCAGAAAGTTTTCTGCGATGACTGCATTCAACTCACAGAGTTGAACAATCCTTCTGATGGAGCAGTTTTGAAACCCTCTTTCTTTGGAATCTGCAAGGGGATATGTGGACCTCTTTGAAGATTTCACTGGAAACGGGATCATCTTCACATAAAAACTAAACAGAAGCATTCTCGGAAACTACTTTGTGATGTTTGTATTCAACTCCCAGAGTTGAACTTTCCTTTTGAAAGAGCAGCTATGAAACACTCTTTTTCGAGAATCTGCAAGTGGACGTTTGGAGGGCTTTGAGGCCTGTGGTGGAAAAGGAAATATCTTCACATAAAACTAGATAGAAGCATTCTCAGAAACTACTTTGTGAGGATGGCATTCAACTCATGGAGTTGAACAATCCTATTGATAGAGCAGATTGGAATCACTCTTTTTGTAGAATCTGCAAATGGAGATTTGGACTGCTTTGAGGCCTACGGTCGTATAGGAAGGAACTTCATATAAAAGGCAAACGGAAGCATTCTCAGAATATTCTTTGTGATGATGGAGTTTCACTCACAGAGCTGAACATGCCTTTTGATGGAGCAGTTTCCAAATACACTTTTGGTAGAATCTGCAGGTGGATATTTGGAGCTCTCTGAGGATTTCGTTGGAAACGGGAATAATTTCCCATAACTAAACACAAACACTCTGAGAAAGTTCTTCATGATGAATGCATTTAACTCGCAGAGATGAACCTGCCTTTGAGAGTTCAGGTTCGAAACACTCTTTCTGTAGAATCTGCAAGTGGATATTTGGACCACTGGGTGGCCTTCGTTCGAAACGGGTATATGTTCACGTAAAAACTAAAGAGAAGCATTCTCAGAAACTTCTGAGTGATGATTGCATTCAAGTCACACAGTTGAACCCTCCTTTTGATGGAGCAGTTTTGAAACTGTCTTTTTGTAGAATCTGTAAGTGGATACGTGGACCTCTTTGAAGATTTCTTTGGAAACGGGAATATTTCCACAGAAAAACTAAACTGAAGCATTCTCAGAAACTGCTTTGTGATGTTTGTGTTCGAGCCACAGAGTTTAACATTGCTTTTCATAGAGCAGTTTTGAAATATTCTTTTCGCAGAATCTGCAAGTGGACATTTGGAGCGCTTTCAGGCCTGTGGTGGAAAAGGCCTGAAAGCCTTTTCCTTTATCTTCACAGAAAGACGAGAGAGAAGCATTGTCAGAAACTTCTTTGTGATGATTGCATTCAACTCACAGAGTTGAAGATTCCTTTTGAAACAGCAGTTTCGAAACACTCTTTCTGTGGGATCCGCAAGGGGATATTTGGACCTCTTTGAAGGTTTCGTTGGAAACGGGATAATCTTCACCTAAAAGCTAAACGGAAGCACTCTCAGAAACTTCTTTGGGATGTTTGCATTCACCTCTCAGAGTTGAACTTTCCCTTTGATAGCGCAGCTTTGACACACTTTTTCTACAATGTGCAAGTGGCTATTTAGCGGGCTTGGAGGACTGTGTTGGAAAAGGAAATATCTTCTCCTAAAAACGACATAGAAGCATTCTCAGAAACTGCTCTGTGATGATTGCATTCAACTCCCAGAGTTGAACATTCCTTTTGATAGAGCAGTTTGCAAACACTCTTTTTGTAGAATCTGCAAGTGGAGATTTGGACCGCTTTGAGGACTGGGGTAGTAAAGGAAAGAGCTTCATATAAAAAACAGACGGTAGCACTCTCAGAAAATTCTTTGTGACGATGGAGTTTAACTCAGGGAGCTGAACATTCGTTATGATGGAGCAGTTTCCAAACACACGCTTTGTAGAATCTGCAAGGGGATATTTGGACCTCTCTGAGGATTTCGTTGGAAACGGGATCAACTTCCCATAACTGAACGGAAGCAAACTCAGAACATTCTTTGTGATGTTTGTATTCAACTCCCAGAGTTGAACTTTCCTTTTGAAAGAGCAGCTATGAAACACTCTTTTTCGAGAATCTGCAAGTGGACGTTTGGAGGGCTTTGAGGCCTGTGGTGGAAAAGGAAATATCTTCACACAAAAACCAGATAGAAGCATTCTCAGAAACTACTTTGTGAGGATGGCATTCAACTCATGGAGTTGAACAATCCTATTGATAGAGCAGATTGGAATCACTCTTTTTGTAGAATCTGCAAATGGAGATTTGGACTGCTTTGAGGCCTACAGTAGTACAGGAAGGAACTTCATATAAAAGGCAAACGGAAGCATTCTCAGAATATTCTTTGTGATGATGGAGTTTCACTCACAGAGCTGAACATGCCTTTTGATGGAGCAGATTCCAAATACACTTTTGGTAGAATCTGCAGGTGGATATTTGGACCACTCTGAGGATTTCGTTGGAAACGGGAATAATTTCCCATAACTAAACACAAACACTCTGAGAAAGTTCTTCATGATGAATGCATTTAACTCGCAGAGATGAACCTGCCTTTGAGAGTTCAGGTTCGAAACACTCTTTCTGTAGAATCTGCAAGTGGATATTTGGACCACTGGGTGGCGTTCGTTCGAAACGGGTATATGTTCACGTAAAAACTAAAGAGAAGCATTCTCAGAAACTTCTGAGTGATGATTGCATTCAAGTCACACAGTTGAACCCTCCTTTTGATGGAGCAGTTTTGAAACTGTCTTTTTGTAGAATCTGTAAGTGGATACGTGGACCTCTTTGAAGATTTCTTTGGAAACGGGAATATTTCCACAGAAAAACTAAACTGAAGCATTCTCAGAAACTGCTTTGTGATGTTTGTGTTCGAGCCACAGAGTTTAACATTGCTTTTCATAGAGCAGTTTTGAAATATTCTTTTCGCAGAATCTGCAAGTGGACATTTGGAGCGCTTTCAGGCCTGTGGTGGAAAAGGCCTGAAAGCCTTTTCCTTTATCTTCACAGAAAGACGAGAGAGAAGCATTGTCAGAAACTTCTTTGTGATGATTGCATTCAACTCACAGAGTTGAAGATTCCTTTTGAAACAGCAGTTTTGAAACACTCTTTCTGTGGGATCCCCAAGGGGATATTTGGACCTCTTTGAAGGTTTTGTTGGAAACGGGATAATCTTCACCTAAAAGCTAAACGGAAGCACTCTCAGAAACTTCTTTGGGATGTTTGCATTCACCTCTCAGAGTTGAACTTTCCCTTCGATAGCGCAGCTTTGACACACTTTTTCTACAATGTGCAAGTGGCTATTTAGCGGGCTTGGAGGACTGTGTTGGAAAAGGAAATATCTTCTCCTAAAAACGACATAGAAGCATTCTCAGAAACTGCTCTGTGATGATTGCATTCAACTCCCAGGGTTGAACATTCCTTTTGATAGAGCAGTTTGCAAACACTCTTTTTGTAGAATCTGCAAGTGGAGATTTGGACCGCTTTGAGGCCTATGGTAGTAAAGGAAAGAACTTCATATAAAAACCAGACGGTAGCACTCTCAGAAAATTCTTTGTGACGATGGAGTTTAACTCAGGGAGCTGAACATTCGTTATGATGGAGCAGTTTCCAAACACACGTTTTGTAGAATCTGCAAGGGGATATATGGACCTCTCTGAGGATTTCGCTGGAAACGGGATCAACTTCCCATAACTGAACGGAAGCAAACTCAGAACATTCTTTGTGATGTTTGTATTCAACTCACAGAGTTGAACCTTCCTTTGATAGTTCAGGTTTGCAACACCCTTGTAGTAGAATCTGCAAGTGTATATTTTGACCACTGTGTAGCCTTCGTTTGAAACGTCTATATCTTCACATCAAACCTAGACAGAAGCATTCTCAGAAAGTTTTCTGCGATGACTGCATTCAACTCACAGAGTTGAACAATCCTTTTGATGGAGCAGTTTTGAAACCCTCTTTCTTTGGAATCTGCAAGGGGATATGTGGACCTCTTTGAAGATTTCACTGGAAACGGGATCATCTTCACATAAAAACTAAACAGAAGCATTCTTGGAAACTATTTTGTGATGTTTGTATTCAACTCCCAGAGTTGAACTTTCCTTTTGAAAGAGCAGCTATGAAACACTCTTTTTCGAGAATCTGCAAGTGGACGTTTGGAGGGCTTTGAGGCCTGTGGTGGAAAAGGAAATATCTTCACACAAAAACCAGATAGAAGCATTCTCAGAAACTACTTTGTGAGGATGGCATTCAACTCATGGAGTTGAACAATCCTATTGATAGAGCAGATTGGAATCACTCTTTTTGTAGAATCTGCAAATGGAGATTTGGACTGCTTTGAGGCCTACGGTAGTACAGGAAGGAAGTTCATATAAAAGGCAAACGGAAGCATTCTCAGAATATTCTTTGTGATGATGGAGTTTCACTCACAGAGCTGAACATGCCTTTTGATGGAGCAGTTTCCAAATACACTTTTGGTAGAATCTGCAGGTGGATATTTGGAGCTCCCTGAGGATTTCGTTGGAAACGGGAATAATTTCCCATAACTAAACACAAACACTCTGAGAAAGTTCTTCATGATGAATGCATTTAACTCGCAGAGATGAACCTGCCTTTGAGAGTTCAGGTTCGAAACACTCTTTCTGTAGAATCTGCAAGTGGATATTTGGACCACTGGGTGGCCTTCGTTCGAAACGCGTATATGTTCACGTAAAAACTAAAGAGAAGCATTCTCAGAAACTTCTGAGTGATGATTGCATTCAAGTCACACAGTTGAACCCTCCTTTTGATGGAGCAGTTTTGAAACTGTCTTTTTGTAGAATCTGTAAGTGGATACGTGGACCTCTTTGAAGATTTCTTTGGAAACGGGAATATTTCCACAGAAAAACTAAACTGAAGCATTCTCAGAAACTGCTTTGTGATGTTTGTGTTCGAGCCACAGAGTTTAACATTGCTTTTCATAGAGCAGTTTTGAAATATTCTTTTGGCAGAATCTGCAAGTGGACATTTGGAGCGCTTTCAGGCCTGTGGTGGAAAAGGCCTGAAAGCCTTTTCCTTTATCTTCACAGGAAGACGAGAGAGAAGCATTGTCAGAAACTTCTTTGTGATGATTGCATTCAACTCACAGAGTTGAAGATTCCTTTTGAAACAGCAGTTTCGAAACACTCTTTCTGTGGGATCCGCAAGGGGATATTTGGACCTCTTTGAAGGTTTCGTTGGAAACGGGATAATCTTCACCTAAAAGCTAAACGGAAGCACTCTCAGAAACTTCTTTGGGATGTTTGCATTCACCTCTCAGAGTTGAACTTTCCCTTTGATAGCGCAGCTTTGACACACTTTTTCTACAATGTGCAAGTGGATATTTAGCGGGCTTGGAGGACTGTGTTGGAAAAGGAAATATCTTCTCCTATAAACGACATAGAAGCATTCTCAGAAACTGCTCTGTGATGATTGCATTCAACTCCCAGAGTTGAACATTCCTTTTGATAGAGCAGTTTGCAAACACTCTTTTTGTAGAATCTGCAAGTGGAGATTTGGACCGCTTTGAGGACTGGGGTAGTAAAGGAAAGAGCTTCATATAAAAACCAGACGGTAGCACTCTCAGAAAATTCTTTGTGACGATGGAGTTTAACTCAGGGAGCTGAACATTCGTTATGATGGAGCAGTTTCCAAACACACGTTTTGTAGAATCTGCAAGGGGATATTTGGACCTCTCTGAGGATTTCGCTGGAAACGGGATCAACTTCCCATAACTGAACGGAAGCAAACTCAGAACATTCTTTGTGATGTTTGTATTCAACTCACAGAGTTGAACCTTCCTTTGATAGTTCAGGTTTGCAACACCCTTGTAGTAGAATCTGCAAGTGTATATTTTGACCACTTTGTAGCCTTCGTTTGAAACGTCTATATCTTCACATCAAACCTAGACAGAAGCATTCTCAGAAAGTTTTCTGCGATGACTGCATTCAACTCACAGAGTTGAACAATCCTTTTGATGGAGCAGTTTTGAAACCCTCTTTCTTTGGAATCTGCAAGGGGATATGTGGACCTCTTTGAAGATTTCACTGGAAACGGGATCATCTTCACATAAAAACTAAACAGAAGCATTCTCGGAAACTATTTTGTGATGTTTGTATTCAACTCCCAGAGTTGAACTTTCCTTTTGAAAGAGCAGCTATGAAACACTCTTTTTCGAGAATCTGCAAGTGGACGTTTGGAGGGCTTTGAGGCCTGTGGTGGAAAAGGAAATATCTTCACACAAAAACCAGATAGAAGCATTCTCAGAAACTACTTTGTGAGGATGGCATTCAACTCATGGAGTTGAACAATCCTATTGATAGAGCAGATTGGAATCACTCTTTTTGTAGAATCTGCAAATGGAGATTTGGACTGCTTTGAGGCCTACAGTAGTACAGGAAGGAACTTCATATAAAAGGCAAACGGAAGCATTCTCAGAATATTCTTTGTGATGATGGAGTTTCACTCACAGAGCTGAACATGCCTTTTGATGGAGCAGTTTCCAAATACACTTTTGGTAGAATCTGCAGGTGGATATTTGGAGCTCTCTGAGGATTTCGTTGGAAACGGGAATAATTTCCCATAACTAAACACAAACACTCTGAGAAAGTTCTTCATGATGAATGCATTTAACTCGCAGAGATGAACCTGCCTTTGAGAGTTCAGGTTCGAAACACTCTTTCTGTAGAATCTGCAAGTGGATATTTGGACCACTGGGTGGCCTTCGTTCGAAACGGGTATATGTTCACGTAAAAACTAAAGAGAAGCATTCTCAGAAACTTCTGAGTGATGATTGCATTCAAGTCACACAGTTGAACCCTCCTTTTGATGGAGCAGTTTTGAAACTGTCTTTTTGTAGAATCTGTAAGTGGATACGTGGACCTCTTTGAAGATTTCTTTGGAAACGGGAATATTTCCACAGAAAAACTAAACTGAAACATTCTCAGAAACCGCTTTGTGATGTTTGTGTTCCAGCCACAGAGTTTAACATTGCTTTTCATAGAGCAGTTTTGAAATATTCTTTTCGCAGAATCTGCAAGTGGACATTTGGAGCGCTTTCAGGCCTGTGGTGGAACAGGCCTGAAAGCCTTTTCCTTTATCTTCACAGAAAGACGAGAGAGAAGCATTGTCAGAAACTTCTTTGTGATGATTGCATTCAACTCACAGAGTTGAAGATTCCTTTTGAAACAGCAGTTTCGAAACACTCTTTCTGTGGGATCCGCAAGGGGATATTTGGACCTCTTTGAAGGTTTCGTTGGAAACGGGATAATCTTCACCTAAAAGCTAAACGGAAGCATTCTCAGAAACTTCTTTGGGATGTTTGCATTCACCTCACAGAGTTGAACTTTCCCTTTGATAGCGCAGCTTTGACACACTTTTTCTACAATGTGCAAGTGGCTATTTAGCGGGCTTGGAGGACTGTGTTGGAAAAGGAAATATCTTCTCCTAAAAACGACATAGAAGCATTCTCAGAAACTGCTCTGTGATGATTGCATTCAACTCCCAGAGTTGAACATTCCTTTTGATAGAGCAGTTTGCAAACACTCTTTTTGTAGAATCTGCAAGTGGAGATTTGGACCGCTTTGAGGCCTGTGGTAGTGAAGGAAAGAACTCCATATAAAAACCAGACGGTAGCACTCTCAGAAAATTCTTTGTGACGATGGAGTTTAACTCAGGGAGCTGAACATTCGTTACGATGGAGCAGTTTCCAAACACACGTTTTGTAGAATCTGCAAGGGGATATTTGGACCTCTCTGAGGATTTCGTTGGAAACGGGATCAACTTCCCATAACTGAACGGAAGCAAACTCAGAACATTCTTTGTGATGTTTGTATTCAACTCACAGAGTTGAACCTTCCTTTGATAGTTCAGGTTTGCAACACCCTTGTAGTAGAATCTGCAAGTGTATATTTTGACCACTTTGTAGCCTTCGTTTGAAACGTCTATATCTTCACATCAAACCTAGACAGAAGCATTCTCAGAAAGTTTTCTGCGATGACTGCATTCAACTCACAGAGTTGAACAATCCTTCTGATGGAGCAGTTTTGAAACCCTCTTTCTTTGGAATCTGCAAGGGGATATGTGGACCTCTTTGAAGATTTCACTGGAAACGGGATCATCTTCACATAAAAACTAAACAGAAGCATTCTCGGAAACTATTTTGTGATGTTTGTATTCAACTCCCAGAGTTGAACTTTCCTTTTGAAAGAGCAGCTATGAAACACTCTTTTTCGAGAATCTGCAAGTGGACGTTTGGAGGGCTTTGAGGCCTGTGGTGGAAAAGGAAATATCTTCACACAAAAACCAGATAGAAGCATTCTCAGAATATTCTTTGTGATGATGGAGTTTCACTCACAGAGCTGAACATGCCTTTTGATGGAGCAGTTTCCAAATACACTTTTGGTAGAATCTGCAGGTGGATATTTGGAGCTCTCTGAGGATTTCGTTGGAAACGGGAATAATTTCCCATAACTAAACACAAACACTCTGAGAAAGTTCTTCATGATGAATGCATTTAACTCGCAGAGATGAACCTGCCTTTGAGAGTTCAGGTTCGAAACACTCTTTCTGTATAATCTGCAAGTGGATATTTGGACCACTGGGTGGCCTTCGTTCGAAACGGGTATATGCTCACGTAAAAACTAAAGAGAAGCATTCTCAGAAACTTCTGAGTGATGATTGCATTCAAGTCACACGGTTGAACCCTCCTTTTGATGGAGCAGTTTTGAAACTGTCTTTTTGTAGAATCTGTAAGTGGATACGTGGACCTCTTTGAAGATTTCTTTGGAAACGGGAATATTTCCACAGAAAAACTAAACTGAAGCATTCTCAGAAACCGCTTTGTGATGTTTGTGTTCGAGCCGCAGAGTTTAACATTGCTTTTCATAGAGCAGTTTTGAAATATTCTTTTCGCAGAATCTGCAAGTGGACATTTGGAGCGCTTTCAGGCCTGTGGGTGGAAAAGGCCTGAAAGCCTTTTCCTTTATCTTCACAGAAAGACGAGAGAGAAGCATTGTCAGAAACTTCTTTGTGATGATTGCATTCAACTCACAGAGTTGAAGATTCCTTTTGAAACAGCAGTTTCAAAACACTCTTTCTGTGGGATCCGCAAGGGGATATTTAGACCTCTTTGAAGATTTCGTTGGAAACGGAATAATCTTCACCTAAAAGCTAAACGGAAGCATTCTCAGAAACTTCTTTGGGATGTTTGCATTCACCTCACAGAGTTGAACTTTCCCTTTGATAGCGCAGCTTTGACACACTTTTTCTACAATGTGCAAGTGGCTATTTAGCGGGCTTGGAGGACTGTGTTGGAAAAGGAAATATCTTCTAAAAACGACATAGAAGCATTCTCAGAAACTGCTCTGTGATGATTGCATTCAACTCCCAGAGTTGAACATTCCTTTTGATAGAGCAGTTTGCAAACACTCTTTTTGTAGAATCTGCAAGTGGAGATTTGGACCGCTTTGAGGCCTGTGGTAGTGAAGGAAAGAACTTCATATAAAAACCAGACGGTAGCACTCTCAGAAAATTCTTTGTGACGATGGAGTTTAACTCAGGGAGCTGAACATTCGTTATGATGGAGCAGTTTCCAAACACAAGTTTTGTAGAATCTGTGAGGGGATATTTGGACCTCTCTGAGGATTTCGTTGGAAACGGGATCAACTTCCCATAACTGA
Organism: Homo sapiens; assembly: GCF_000001405.40. Taxonomy (NCBI): domain Eukaryota; kingdom Metazoa; phylum Chordata; class Mammalia; order Primates; family Hominidae; genus Homo; species Homo sapiens. The sequence goes on from NC_000023.11 coordinate 58,974,133, forward strand.
ACGGAAGCAAACTCAGAACATTCTTTGTGATGTTTGTATTCAACTCACAGAGTTGAACCTTCCTTTGATAGTTCAGGTTTGCAACACCCTTGTAGTAGAATCTGCAAGTGTATATTTTGACCACTTTGTAGCCTTCATTTGAAACGTCTATATCTTCACATCAAACCTAGACAGAAGCATTCTCAGAAAGTTTTCTGCGATGAGTGCATTCAACTCACAGAGTTGAACAATCCTTTTGATGGAGCAGTTTTGAAACCCTCTTTCTTTGGAATCTGCAAGGGGATATGTGGACCTCTTTGAAGATTTCACTGGAAACGGGATCATCTTCACATAAGAACTAAACAGAAGCATTCTCGGAAACTACTTTGTGATGTTTGTATTCAACTCCCAGAGTTGAACTTTCCTTTTGAAAGAGCAGCTATGAAACAGTCTTTTTCGAGAATGTGCAAGTGGACGTTTGGAGGGCTTTGAGGCCTGTGGTGGAAAAGGAAATATCTTCACATAAAAACTAGATAGAAGCATTCTCAGAAACGACTTTGTGAGGATGGCATTCAACTCATGGAGTTGAACAATCCTATTGATAGAGCAGATTGGAATCACTCTTTTTGTAGAATCTGCAAATGGAGATTTGGACTGCTTTGAGGCCTACGGTCGTATAGGAAGGAACTTCATATAAAAGGCAAACGGAAGCATTCTCAGAATGTTCTTTGTGATGATGGAGTTTCACTCACAGAGCTGAACATGCCTGTTGATGGAGCAGTTTCCAAATACACTTTTGGTAGAATCTGCAGGTGGATATTTGGAGCTCTCTGAGGATTTCATTGGAAACGGGAATAATTTCCCATAACTAAACACAAACACTCTGAGAAAGTTCTTCATGATGAATGCATTTAACTCGCAGAGATGAACCTGCCTTTGAGAGTTCAGGTTCGAAACACTCTTTCTGTAGAATCTGCAAGTGGATATTTGGACCACTGGGTGGCCTTCGTTCGAAACGGGTATATGTTCACGTAAAAACTAAAGAGAAGCATTCTCAGAAACTTCTGAGTGATGATTGCATTCAAGTCACACAGTTGAACCCTCCTTTTGATGGAGCAGTTTTGAAACTGTCTTTTTGTAGAATCTGTAAGTGGATACGTGGACCTCTTTGAAGATTTCTTTGGAAACGGGAATATTTCCACAGAAAAACTAAACTGAAGCATTCTCAGAAACCGCTTTGTGATGTTTGTGTTCGAGCCACAGAGTTTAACATTGCTTTTCATAGAGCAGTTTTGAAATATTCTTTTCGCAGAATCTGCAAGTGGACATTTGGAGCGCTTTCAGGCCTGTGGTGGCAAAGGCCTGAAAGCCTTTTCCTTTATCTTCACAGAAAGACGAGAGAGAAGCATTGTCAGAAACTTCTTTGTGATGATTGCATTCAACTCACAGAGTTGAAGATTCCTTTTGAAACAGCAGTTTCGAAACACTCTTTCTGTGGGATCCGCAAGGGGATATTTGGACCTCTTTGAAGGTTTCGTTGGAAACGGGATAATCTTCACCTAAAAGCTAAACGGAAGCATTCTCAGAAACTTCTTTGGGATGTTTGCATTCACCTCACAGAGTTGAACTTTCCCTTTGATAGCGCAGCTTTGACACACTTTTTCTACAATGTGCAAGTGGCTATTTAGCGGGCTTGGAGGACTGTGTTGGAAAAGGAAATATCTTCTCCTAAAAACGACATAGAAGCATTCTCAGAAACTGCTCTGTGATGATTGCATTCAACTCCCAGAGTTGAACATTCCTTTTGATAGAGCAGTTTGCAAACACTCTTTTTGTAGAATCTGCAAGTGGAGATTTGGACCGCTTTGAGGCCTGTGGTAGTGAAGGAAAGAGCTTCATATAAAAACCAGACGGTAGCACTCTCAGAAAATTCTTTGTGACGATGGAGTTTAACTCAGGGAGCTGAACATTCGTTATGATGGAGCAGTTTCCAAACACACGTTTTGTAGAATCTGCAAGGGGATATTTGGACCTCTCTGAGGATTTCGTTGGAAACGGGATCAACTTCCCATAACTGAACGGAAGCAAACTCAGAAAATTCTTTGTGATGTTTGTATTCAACTCCCAGAGTTGAACTTTCCTTTTGAAAGAGCAGCTATGAAACACTCTTTTTCTAGAATCTGCAAGTGGACGTTTGGAGGGCTTTGAGGCCTGTGGTGGAAAAGGAAATATCTTCACATAAAAACTAGATAGAAGCATTCTCAGAAACTACTTTGTGAGGATGGCATTCAACTCATGGAGTTGAACAATCCTATTGATAGAGCAGATTGGAATCACTCTTTTTGTAGAATCTGCAAATGGAGATTTGGACTGCTTTGAGGCCTACGGTCGTATAGGAAGGAACTTCATATAAAAGGCAAACGGAAGCATTCTCAGAATATTCTTTGTGATGATGGAGTTTCACTCACAGAGCTGAACATGCCTTTTGATGGAGCAGTTTCCAAATACACTTTTGGTAGAATCTGCAGGTGGATATTTGGAGCTCTTTGAGGATTTCGTTGGAAACGGGAATAATTTCCCATAACTAAACACAAACACGCTGAGAAAGTTCTTCATGATGAATGCATTTAACTCGCAGAGATGAACCTGCCTTTGAGAGTTCAGGTTCGAAACACTCTTTATGTAGAATCTGCAAGTGGATATTTGGACCACTGGGTGGCCTTCGTTCGAAACGGGTATATGTTCACGTAAAAACTAAAGAGAAGCATTCTCAGAAACTTCTGAGTGATGATTGCATTGAAGTCACACAGTTGAACCCTCCTTTTGATGGAGCAGTTTTGAAACTGTCTTTTTGTAGAATCTGTAAGTGGATACGTGGACCTCTTTGAAGATTTCTTTGGAAACGGGAATATTTCCACAGAAAAACTAAACTGAAGCATTCTCAGAAACCGCTTTGTGATGTTTGTGTTCCAGCCACAGAGTTTAACATTGCTTTTCATAGAGCAGTTTTGAAATATTCTTTTCGCAGAATCTGCAAGTGGACATTTGGAGCGCTTTCAGGCCTGTGGTGGAAAAGGCCTGAAAGCCTTTTCCTTTATCTTCACAGAAAGACGAGAGAGAAGCATTGTCAGAAACTTCTTTGTGATGATTGCATTCAACTCACAGAGTTGAAGATTCCTTTTGAAACAGCAGTTTCGAAACACTCTTTCTGTGGGATCCGCAAGGGGATATTTGGACCTCTTTGAAGGTTTCGTTGGAAACGGGATAATCTTCACCTAAAAGCTAAACGGAAGCATTCTCAGAAACTTCTTTGGGATGTTTGCATTCACCTCACAGAGTTGAACTTTCCCTTTGATAGCGCAGCTTTGACACACTTTTTCTACAATGTGCAAGTGGCTATTTAGCGGGCTTGGGGGACTGTGTTGGAAAAGGAAATATCTTCTCCTAAAAACGACATAGAAGCATTCTCAGAAACTGCTCTGTGATGATTGCATTCAACTCCCAGAGTTGAACATTCCTTTTGATAGAGCAGTTTGCAAACACTCTTTTTGTAGAATCTGCAAGTGGAGATTTGGACCGCTTTGAGGCCTGTGGTAGTGAAGGAAAGAACTTCATATAAAAACCAGACGGTAGCACTCTCAGAAAATTCTTTGTGACGATGGAGTTTAACTCAGGGAGCTGAACATTCGTTATGATGGAGCAGTTTCCAAACACACGTTTTGTAGAATCTGCAAGGGGATATTTGGACCTCTCTGAGGATTTCGTTGGAAACGGGATCAACTTCCCATAACTGAACGGAAGCAAACTCAGAACATTCTTTGTGATGTTTGTATTCAACTCACAGAGTTGAACCTTCCTTTGATAGTTCAGGTTTGCAACACCCTTGTAGTAGAATCTGCAAGTGTATATTTTGACCACTTTGTAGCCTTCGTTTGAAACGTCTATATCTTCACATCAAACCTAGACAGAAGCATTCTCAGAAAGTTTTCTGCGATGACTGCATTCAACTCACAGAGTTGAACAATCCTTCTGATGGAGCAGTTTTGAAACCCTCTTTCTTTGGAATCTGCAAGGGGATATGTGGACCTCTTTGAAGATTTCACTGGAAACGGGATCATCTTCACATAAAAACTAAACAGAAGCATTCTCGGAAACTACTTTGTGATGTTTGTATTCAACTCCCAGAGTTGAACTTTCCTTTTGAAAGAGCAGCTATGAAACACTCTTTTTCGAGAATCTGCAAGTGGACGTTTGGAGGGCTTTGAGGCCTGTGGTGGAAAAGGAAATATCTTCACATAAAAACTAGATAGAAGCATTCTCAGAAACTACTTTGTGAGGATGGCATTCAACTCATGGAGTTGAACAATCCTATTGATAGAGCAGATTGGAATCACTCTTTTTGTAGAATCTGCAAATGGAGATTTGGACTGCTTTGAGGCCTAAGGTCGTATAGGAAGGAACTTCATATAAAAGGCAAACGGAAGCATTCTCAGAATATTCTTTGTGATGATGGAGTTTCACTCACAGAGCTGAACATGCCTCTTGATGGAGCAGTTTCCAAATACACTTTTGGTAGAATCTGCAGGTGGATATTTGGAGCTCTCTGAGGATTTCGTTGGAAACGGGAATAATTTCCCATAACTAAACACAAACACTCTGAGAAAGTTCTTCATGATGAATGCATTTAACTCGCAGAGATGAACCTGCCTTTGAGAGTTCAGGTTCGAAACACTCTTTCTGTAGAATCTGCAAGTGGATATTTGGACCACTGGCTGGCCTTCGTTCGAAACGGGTATATGTTCACGTAAAAACTAAAGAGAAGCATTCTCAGAAACTTCTGAGTGATGATTGCATTCAAGTCACACAGTTGAACCCTCCTTTTGATGGAGCAGTTTTGAAACTGTCTTTTTGTAGAATCTGTAAGTGGATACGTGGACCTCTTTGAAGATTTCTTTGGAAACGGGAATATTTCCACAGAAAAACTAAACTGAAGCATTCTCAGAAACTGCTTTGTGATGTTTGTGTTCGAGCCACAGAGTTTAACATTGCTTTTCATAGAGCAGTTTTGAAATATTCTTTTGGCAGAATCTGCAAGTGGACATTTGGAGCGATTTCAGGCCTGTGGTGGAAAAGGCCTGAAAGCCTTTTCCTTTATCTTCACAGAAAGACGAGAGAGAAGCATTGTCAGAAACTTCTTTGTGATGATTGCATTCAACTCACAGAGTTGAAGATTCCTTTTGAAACAGCAGTTTCGAAACACTCTTTCTGTGGGATCCGCAAGGGGATATTTGGACCTCTTTGAAGATTTCGTTGGAAACGGGATAATCTTCACCTAAAAGCTAAACGGAAGCATTCTCAGAAACTTCTTTGGGATGTTTGCATTCACCTCACAGAGTCGAACTTTCCCTTTGATAGCGCAGCTTCGACACACTTTTTCTAAAATGTGCAAGTGGATATTTAGCGTGCTTGCAGGACTGTGTTGGAAAAGGAAATATCTTCTCCTAAAAACCACATAGAAGCATTCTCAGAAACTGCTCTGTGATGATTGCATTCAACTCCCAGAGTTGAACATTCCTTTTGATAGAGCAGTTTGCAAACACTCTTTTTGTAGAATCTGCAAGTGGAGATTTGGACCGCTTTGAGGCCTGTGGTAGTAAAGGAAAGAACTTCCTATAAAAACTAGACGGTAGCACTCTCAGAAAATTCTTTGTGACGATGGAGTTTAACTCAGAGAGCTGAACATTCGTTATGATGGAGCAGTTTCCAAACACACGTTTTGTAGAATCTGCAAGGGGATATTTGGACCTCTCTGAGGATTTCGTTGGAAACGGGATCAACTTCCCATAACTGAACGGAAGCAAACTCAGAACATTCTTTGTGATGTTTGTATTCAACTCACAGAGTTGAACCTTCCTTTGATAGTTCAGGTTTGCAACACCCTTGTAGTAGAATCTGCAAGTGTATATTTTGACCACTTTGTAGCCTTCGTTTGAAACGTCTATATCTTCACATCAAACCTAGACAGAAGCATTCTCAGAAAGTTTTCTGCGATGACTGCATTCAACTCACAGAGTTGAACAATCCTTTTGATGGAGCAGTTTTGAAACCCTCTTTCTTTGGAATCTGCAAGGGGATATGTGGACCTCTTTGAAGATTTCACTGGAAACGGGATCATCTTCACATAAGAACTAAACAGAAGCATTCTCGGAAACTACTTTGTGATGTTTGTATTCAACTCCCAGAGTTGAACTTTCCTTTTGAAAGAGCAGCTATGAAACACTCTTTTTCGAGAATCTGCAAGTGGACGTTTGGAGGGCTTTGAGGCCTGTGGTGGAAAAGGAAATATCTTCACATAAAAACTAGATAGAAGCATTCTCAGAAACGACTTTGTGAGGACGGCATTCAACTCATGGAGTTGAACAATCCTAATGATAGAGCACATTGGAATCACTCTTTTTGTAGAATCGGCAAATGGAGATTTGGACTGCTTTGAGGCCTACGGTAGTACAGGAAGGAACTTCATATAAAAGGCAAACGGACGCATTCTCAGAATATTCTTTGTGATGATGGAGTTTCACTCACAGAGCTGAACATGCCTTTTGATGGAGCAGTTTCCAAATACACTTCTGGTAGAATCTGCAGGTGGATATTTGGAGCTCTCTGAGGATTTCGTTGGATAAGGGAATAATTTCCCATAACTAAACACAAACACGCTGAGAATGTTCTTCATGATGAATGCATTTAACTCGCAGAGATGAACCTGCCTTTGAGAGTTCAGGTTCGAAACACTCTTTCTGTAGAATCTGCAAGTGGATATTTGGACCACTGGGTGGCCTTCGTTCGAAACGGGTATATGTTCACGTAAAAACTAAAGAGAAGCATTCTCAGAAACTTCTGAATGATGATTGCATTCAAGTCACACGGTTGAACCCTCCTTTTGATGGAGCAGTTTTGAAACTGTCTTTTTGTAGAATCTGTAAGTGGATACGTGGACCTCTTTGAAGATTTCTTTGGAAACGGGAATATTTCCACAGAAAAACTAAACTGAAGCATTCTCAGAAACCGCTTTGTGATGTTTGTGTTCGAGCCACAGAGTTTAACATTGCTTTTCATAGAGCAGTTTTGAAATATTCTTTTGGCAGAATCTGCAAGTGGACATTTGGAGCGCTTTCAGGCCTGTGGTGGAAAAGGCCTGAAAGCCTTTTCCTTTATCTTCACAGAAAGACGAGAGAGAAGCATTGTCAGAAACTTCTTTGTGATGATTGCATTCAACTCACAGAGTTGAAGATTCCTTTTGAAACAGCAGTTTCGAAACACTCTTTCTGTGGGATCCGCAAGGGGATATTTGGACCTCTTTGAAGGTTTCGTTGGAAACGGGATAATCTTCACCTAAAAGCTAAACGGAAGCATTCTCAGAAACTTCTTTGGGATGTTTGCATTCACCTCACAGAGTTGAACTTTCCCTTTGATAGCGCAGCTTTGACACACGTTTTCTACAATGTGCAAGTGGCTATTTAGCGGGCTTGGAGGACTGTGTTGGAAAAGGAAATATCTTCTCCTAAAAACGACATAGAAGCATTCTCAGAAACTGCTCTGTGATGATTGCATTCAACTCCCAGAGTTGAACATTCCTTTTGATAGAGCAGTTTGCAAACACTCTTTTTGTAGAATCTGGAAGTGGAGATTTGGACCGCTTTGAGGCCTGTGGTAGTGAAGGAAAGAGCTTCATATAAAAACCAGACGGTAGCACTCTCAGAAAATTCTTTGTGACGATGGAGTTTAACTCAGGGAGCTGAACATTCGTTATGATGGAGCAGTTTCCAAACACACGTTTTGTAGAATCTGCAAGGGGATATTTGGACCTCTCTGAGGATTTCGTTGGAAACGGGATCAACATCCCATAACTGAACGGAAGCAAACTCAGAACATTCTTTGTGATGTTTGTATTCAACTCACAGAGTTGAACCTTCCTTTGATAGTTCAGGTTTGCAACACCCTTGTAGTAGAATCTGCAAGTGTATATTTTGACCACTTTGTAGCCTTCGTTTGAAACGTCTATATCTTCACATCAAACCTAGACAGAAGCATTCTCAGAAAGTTTTCTGCGATGACTGCATTCAACTCACAGAGTTGAACAATCCTTCTGATGGAGCAGTTTTGAAACCCTCTTTCTTTGGAATCTGCAAGGGGATATGTGGACCTCTTTGAAGATTTCACTGGAAACGGGATCATCTTCACATAAAAACTAAACAGAAGCATTCTCGGAAACTATTTTGTGATGTTTGTATTCAACTCCCAGAGTTGAACTTTCCTTTTGAAAGAGCAGCTATGAAACACTCTTTTTCGAGAATCTGCAAGTGGACGTTTGGAGGGCTTTGAGGCCTGTGGTGGAAAAGGAAATATCTTCACACAAAAACCAGATAGAAGCATTCTCAGAAACGACTTTGTGAGGATGGCATTCAACTCATGGAGTTGAACAATCCTATTGATAGAGCAGATTGGAATCACTCTTTTTGTAGAATCTGCAAATGGAGATTTGGACTGCTTTGAGGCCTACGGTAGTACAGGAAGGAACTTCATATAAAAGGCAAACGGAAGCATTCTCAGAATATTCTTTGTGATGATGGAGTTTCACTGACAGAGCTGAACATGCCTTTTGATGGAGCAGTTTCCAAATACACTTTTGGTAGAATCTGCAGGTGGATATTTGGAGCTCTCTGAGGATTTCGTTGGAAACGGGAATAATTTCCCATAACTAAACACAAACACTCTGAGAAAGTTCTTCATGATGAATGCATTTAACTCGCAGAGATGAACCTGCCTTTGAGAGTTCAGGTTCGAAACACTCTTTCTGTATAATCTGCAAGTGGATATTTGGACCACTGGGTGGCCTTCGTTCGAAACGGGTATATGTTCACGTAAAAACTAAAGAGAAGCATTCTCAGAAACTTCTGAGTGATGATTGCATTCAAGTCACACAGTTGAACCCTCCTTTTGATGGAGCAGTTTTGAAACTGTCTTTTTGTAGAATCTGTAAGTGGATACGTGGACCTCTTTGAAGATTTCTTTGGAAACGGGAATATTTCCACAGAAAAACTAAACTGAAACATTCTCAGAAACCGCTTTGTGATGTTTGTGTTCCAGCCACAGAGTTTAACATTGCTTTTCATAGAGCAGTTTTGAAATATTCTTTTCGCAGAATCTGCAAGTGGACATTTGGAGCGCTTTCAGGCCTGTGGTGGAACAGGCCTGAAAGCCTTTTCCTTTATCTTCACAGAAAGACGAGAGAGAAGCATTGTCAGAAACTTCTTTGTGATGATTGCATTCAACTCACAGAGTTGAAGATTCCTTTTGAAACAGCAGTTTCGAAACACTCTTTCTGTGGGATCCGCAAGGGGATATTTGGACCTCTTTGAAGGTTTCGTTGGAAACGGGATAATCTTCACCTAAAAGCTAAACGGAAGCATTCTCAGAAACTTCTTTGGGATGTTTGCATTCACCTCACAGAGTTGAACTTTCCCTTTGATAGCGCAGCTTTGACACACTTTTTCTACAATGTGCAAGTGGCTATTTAGCGGGCTTGGAGGACTGTGTTGGAAAAGGAAATATCTTCTCCTAAAAACGACATAGAAGCATTCTCAGAAACTGCTCTGTGATGATTGCATTCAACTCCCAGAGTTGAACATTCCTTTTGATAGAGCAGTTTGCAAACACTCTTTTTGTAGAATCTGCAAGTGGAGATTTGGACCGCTTTGAGGCCTGTGGTAGTGAAGGAAAGAACTTCATATAAAAACCAGACGGTAGCACTCTCAGAAAATTCTTTGTGACGATGGAGTTTAACTCAGGGAGCTGAACATTCGTTATGATGGAGCAGTTTCCAAACACACGTTTTGTAGAATCTGCAAGGGGATATTTGGACCTCTCTGAGGATTTCGTTGGAAACGGGATCAACTTCCCATAACTGAACGGAAGCAAACTCAGAACATTCTTTGTGACGTTTGTATTCAACTCACAGAGTTGAACCTTCCTTTGATAGTTCAGGTTTGCAACACCCTTGTAGTAGAATCTGCAAGTGTATATTTTGACCACTTTGTAGCCTTCGTTTGAAACGTCTATATCTTCACATCAAACCTAGACAGAAGCATTCTCAGAAAGTTTTCTGCGATGACTGCATTCAACTCACAGAGTTGAACAATCCTTCTGATGGAGCAGTTTTGAAACCCTCTTTCTTTGGAATCTGCAAGGGGATATGTGGACCTCTTTGAAGATTTCACTGGAAACGGGATCATCTTCACATAAAAACTAAACAGAAGCATTCTCGGAAACTACTTTGTGATGTTTGTATTCAACTCCCAGAGTTGAACTTTCCTTTTGAAAGAGCAGCTATGAAACACTCTTTTTCGAGAATCTGCAAGTGGACGTTTGGAGGGCTTTGAGGCCTGTGGTGGAAAAGGAAATATCTTCACATAAAAACTAGATAGAAGCATTCTCAGAAACTACTTTGTGAGGATGGCATTCAACTCATGGAGTTGAACAATCCTATTGATAGAGCAGATTGGAATCACTCTTTTTGTAGAATCTGCAAATGGAGATTTGGACTGCTTTGAGGCCTACGGTCGTATAGGAAGGAACTTCAGATAAAAGGCAAACGGAAGCATTCTCAGAATATTCTTTGTGATGATGGAGTTTCACTCACAGAGCTGAACATGCCTTTTGATGGAGCAGTTTCCAAATACACTTTTGGTAGAATCTGCAGGTGGATATTTGGAGCTCTTTGAGGATTTCGTTGGAAACGGGAATAATTTCCCATACCTAAACACAAACACGCTGAGAAAGTTCTTCATGATGAATGCATTTAACTCGCAGAGATGAACCTGCCTTTGAGAGTTCAGGTTCGAAACACTCTTTCTGTAGAATCTGCAAGTGGATATTTGGACCACTGGGTGGCCTTCGTTCGAAACGGGTATATGTTCACGTAAAAACTAAAGAGAAGCATTCTCAGAAACTTCTGAGTGATGATTGCATTCAAGTCACACGGTTGAACCCTCCTTTTGATGGAGCAGTTTTGAAACTGTCTTTTTGTAGAATCTGTAAGTGGATACGTGGACCTCTTTGAAGATTTCTTTGGAAACGGGAATATTTCCACAGAAAAACTAAACTGAAGCATTCTCAGAAACCGCTTTGTGATGTTTGTGTTCGAGCCGCAGAGTTTAACATTGCTTTTCATAGAGCAGTTTTGAAATATTCTTTTGGCAGAATCTGCAAGTGGACATTTGGAGCGCTTTCAGGCCTGTGGTGGAAAAGGCCTGAAAGCCTTTTCCTTTATCTTCACAGAAAGACGAGAGAGAAGCATTGTCAGAAACTTCTTTGTGATGATTGCATTCAACTCACAGAGTTGAAGATTCCTTTTGAAACAGCAGTTTCGAAACACTCTTTCTGTGGGATCCGCAAGGGGATATTTGGACCTCTTTGAAGGTTTCGTTGGAAACGGGATAATCTTCACCTAAAAGCTAAACGGAAGCATTCTCAGAAACTTCTTTGGGATGTTTGCATTCACCTCACAGAGTTGAACTTTCCCTTTGATAGCGCAGCTTTGACACACTTTTTCTACAATGTGCAAGTGGCTATTTAGCGGGCTTGGAGGACTGTGTTGGAAAAGGAAATATCTTCTCCTAAAAACGACATAGAAGCATTCTCAGAAACTGCTCTGTGATGATTGCATTCAACTCCCAGAGTTGAACATTCCTTTTGATAGAGCAGTTTGCAAACACTCTTTTTGTAGAATCTGCAAGTGGAGATTTGGACCGCTTTGAGGCCTGTGGTAGTGAAGGAAAGAACTTCATATAAAAACCAGACGGTAGCACTCTCAGAAAATTCTTTGTGACGATGGAGTTTAACTCAGGGAGCTGAACATTCGTTATGATGGAGCAGTTTCCAAACACACGTTTTGTAGAATCTGCGAGGGGATATTTGGACCTCTCTGAGGATTTCGTTGGAAACGGGATCAACTTCCCATAACTGAACGGAAGCAAACTCAGAACATTCTTTGTGATGTTTGTATTCAACTCACAGAGTTGAACCTTCCTTTGATAGTTCAGGTTTGCAACACCCTTGTAGTAGAATCTGCAAGTGTATATTTTGACCACTTTGTAGCCTTCGTTTGAAACATGCTATATCTTCACATCAAACCTAGACAGAAGCATTCTCAGAAAGTTTTCTGCGATGACTGCATTCAACTCACAGAGTTGAACAATCCTTCTGATGGAGCAGTTTTGAAACCCTCTTTCTTTGGAATCTGCAAGGGGATATGTGGACCTCTTTGAAGATTTCACTGGAAACGGGATCATCTTCACATAAAAACTAAACAGGAAGCATTCTCGGAAACTACTTTGTGATGTTTGCATTCAACTGCCAGAGTTGAACATTCCTTTTGAAAGAGCAGCTATGAAACACTCTTTTTGGAGAATCTACAAGTGGACGTTTGGAGGGCTTTGAGGCCTGTGGTGGAAAAGGAAATATCTTCACATAAAAACTAGATAGAAGCATTCTCAGAAATTAATTTGTGACGATGGCATTCAACTCACGGAGTTGAACAATCCTATTGATAGAGCAGATTGGAAACACTCTTTTTGTAGAATCTGCAAATGGAGATTTGGACTGCTTTGAGGCCTACGGTAGTATAGGAAGGAAATTCATAAAAAAGCAAACGGAAGCATTCTCAGAATATTCTTTGTGATGATGGAGTTTAACTAACAGAGCTGAACGTGTCTTTTGATGGAGCAGTTTCCAAATACACTTTTGGTAGAATCTGCAAGGGGATATTTGGACCTCTCTAAGGATTTCGTTGGAAACGGGAGAAATTTCCCATATCTAAACACAAACAGTCTGAGAAAGTTCTTCATGATGAATGTATTTAACTCACAGAGATGAACCTTCCTTTGAGATTTCAGGTTTGAAACACTCTTTCTGTAGAATCTGCAAGTGGATATTTGGACCACTGTGTGGCCTTCGTTCGAAATGGGTATATGTTCACGTAAAAACTAAAGAGAAGCATTCTCAGAAACTTCTGTGTGATGATTGGATTCAAGTCACAGGGTTGAATCCTCCTTTTGATTGAGCAGTTTTGAATCTGTCTTTTTGTAGAATATGTAAGTGGATATGTGGAACTCTTAGAAGATTTCTTTGGAAATGGGAATATCTCCACAGAAAAACTAAACTGAAGCATTCTCAGAAACCGCTTTGTGATGTTTGTGTTCGAGCCACAGAGTTTAACATTGCTTTTCATAGAGCAGTTTTGAAATATTCTTTTCACAGAATCTGCAAGTGGACATTTGGAGCGCTTTCAGGCCTGTGGTGGAAAAGGCCTGAAAGCCTTTTCCTTTATCTTCACAGAAAGACGAGAGAGAAGCATTGTCAGAAACTTCTTTGTGATGATTGCATTCAATTCACAGAGTTTAAGATTCCTTTTGAAACAGCAGTTTCGAAACACTCTTTCTGTGGGATCCGCAAGGGGATATTTGGACCTCTTTGAAGATTTCGTTGGAAACGGGATAATCTTCACCTAAAAGCTAAACGGAAGCATTCTCAGAAACTTCTTTGGGATGTTTGCATTCACCTCACAGTAGTTGAACTTTCCCTTTGATAGCGCAGCTTTGACACACTTTTTCTACAATGTGCAAGTGGCTATTTAGCGGGCTTGGAGGACTGTGTTGGAAAAGGAAATATCTTCTCCTAAAAACGACATAGAAGCATTCTCAGAAACTGCTCTGTGATGATTGCATTCAACTCCCAGAGTTGAACATTCCTTTTGATAGAGCAGTTTGCAAACACTCTTTTTGTAGAATCTGCAAGTGGAGATTTGGACCGCTTTGAGGCCTGTGGTAGTGAAGGAAAGAACTTCATATAAAAACCAGACGGTAGCACTCTCAGAAAATTCTTTGTGACGATGGAGTTTAACTCAGGGAGCTGAACATTCGTTATGATGGAGCAGTTTCCAAACACACGTTTTGTAGAATCTGCGAGGGGATATTTGGACCTCTCTGAGGATTTCGTTGGAAACGGGATCAACTTCCCATAACTGAACGGAAGCAAACTCAGAACATTCTTTGTGATGTTTGTATTCAATTCACAGAGTTGAACCTTCCTTTGATAGTTCACGTTTGCAACACCCTTGTAGTAGAATCTGCAAGTGTATATTTTGACCACTTTGTAGCCTTCGTTTGAAACGTCTATATCTTCACATCAAACCTAGACAGAAGCATTCTCAGAAAGTTTTCTGCGATGACTGCATTCAACTCACAGAGTTGAACAATCCTTCTGATGGAGCAGTTTTGAAACCCTCTTTCTTTGGAATCTGCAAGGGGATATGTGGACCTCTTTGAAGATTTCACTGGAAACGGGATCATCTTCACATAAAAACTAAACAGAAGCATTCTCGGAAACTACTTTGTGATGTTTGTATTCAACTCCCAGAGTTGAACTTTCCTTTTGAAAGAGCAGCTATGAAACACTCTTTTTCGAGAATCTGCAAGTGGACGTTTGGAGGGCTTGGAGGCCTGTGGTGGAAAAGGAAATACCTTCACATAAAAACTAGATAGAAGCATTCTCAGAAACTACTTTGTGAGGATGGCATTCAACTCATGGAGTTGAACAATCCTATTGATAGAGCAGATTGGAATCACTCTTTTTATAGAATCTGCAAATGGAGATTTGGACTGCTTTGAGGCCTACGGTAGTACAGGAAGGAACTTCATATAAAAGGCAAACGGGA